>NW_019805499.1:0-154139 GCF_000001405.40 Homo sapiens | reverse complement strand
GCCTAATGCCCTGTAGACACTTGGTGGTAAGCAGGGTTCAGACTGAAAGACAGGAGCAGGGAAGTCTTGCAGGCAGTAGTTGAGACTCTAGTCCAACAGTAGAAGAACAGTGTGGCTAGATACAGCTGAGAGGAAGCACACTTGGAGGTCTATATTCATGCTGGGGTCAGTGTTACCTCTGCAGATGTGCTAGCTTAGGCGGGCAGCTGGGTGAAATCTGAGGAAGGAGTGATGACGGTGCTGGGGTGCCGTAGATATTTTTTCAAGATTCTTCCTTGAAAATATAAGCTTCACAAAGATGTCCCACCCGCATGAGGGTAGGGGAGGTGTCCATTCCTGCTGTCCTCAGAAGTATAGGCAAAGCAACTAATTCTGCTCTCATCTTGCCATTACTTTTGCAAACACTAACTTAGGTTCTTCAATATCTCTGAAAGAGGAGAAGATGTGATAAAGTTACTAGGCAATGGGAGATCACATCCTCTTTTCTAATTATTCAGTGTGATCTATGGATCTAAGTTTCCATTAACTTTTTGCATTAGCTACTATCTGCCACCATCTTGCACTGTTTAGAAAGTTTGAAATTTCATTTCCGTTTTTCAAAAAAAAAAAAAAGAATTTTGATTATAATGATTGCTCAGGGCCTGGCAGGAAAACATTGCACAACTCCACAATGTGGAATCATAATCGGTCCTTACTCATAATTTTCCACAAGTGATCTATTTAGATATACATTTTAAAAAAGGAAATACATTGATTATTTTGCTCATTTCGTTTCTGGTAGATAGTGCTTACATTTTTGATTAAAACTTTCCATGATGAAGGCAGAGAAGGAAATGGACATAGAAGAAAAAAAAAACAAGAAGGATAAATACTTGTACATTAGCAGTTTTGTTAAAAAGCTGTCCGTAAGGATAAAAAAAAATAAAAGCAGCAGGGGAAAACTTAACAAATATAAATTGCAGCCACCTGCTTGCCTATTTCCAAAGGAAATGATTTTGTGAAGTATAAATCAATTTCTTTGAATAAGCGTTGTTGCAGTCTTTGCTGCTCAAGCTTTAACTAGTGTTTCTTACCACTAACCTTGCCCAGCCATGTTCTGTGTGAACAGCAGGAGGTCACCTGCAAGTGGTCAGCTTTCGGGGTCAAAACGTGTCCAGCTGATACCATTTAAAGTAACACCACCATTGTCCAGATTTAGAGAAAGCTGGAGAATCCATTGTGCTAATGGATTATTGATTTCAATCCAGCGGCACATTTATAAGTTGTTGATTTGGCCTGTGACTAATTACAGAATGGTGTATGATGCTGAATGAGAGAGGAACAGAGCTACAGTGAGTCCTAAGCTTTAAAGTTGTATCTACAGGGTTGTGGTTGAGCTCACATCAGAGGCATCAGTCTGTAAAATATACATTTATCACGTCAACTCAGGAGTAGGACCAATCAGCAGGAAAGCAGAGAAACTACATCTGACTATTTTGTATTTTTGATATATTTTGGAAATGCTATTTGTAAAGAACATTATTTCCCTGGATGGTAGAAATTTCATCACATTCCATTTTTAATCTCATCTGTATTTTCTACTTTTTTACTTAAAAATATCTATGTATTAAAATATTTTCAAATGAATAAAAATGTTTTGCAAAAGAATAGTGCTCACTAATTTGCAGAGGAGAAGTTGAAGTTCCACCAGCTAGTAACATAATTGCTCATATATCAAACCTCTGGCTTATTGGAATGGAAGCTGATGGAAAAGCCTGCTCTTCACTGCTGTAATTAGTTTGTGTCCATTTCTATCCACCCTTATTGGCTCATGCCTCACATGACATCATATTTTTTATTCTCCTAAAAGTTGCAAATGCATGAATCATTGCTGAGCAGCTTCACATATACAGCAGAAAAGTCTGAATGAGTTTGATTATTATTTCCTGGTGTCTCTCATCAGAGATTCAGCTATTAATGTAACCAAAATAAGCTCATGTAGGCTTGATTGCACATGAGCGAATTCCACATCATGTCTGAGTCATCCATGATAAATGAATGCAGTTTTTGCAAAGTTAGTACCACTACAATACGTGGGTTTTGCATATCATTGTTAAGGATCTATTTGACTTGATTGTGAAATATTTAATTGTGGCAGCACTTCAGTGAACCACCCCAATCAATGACTTAAATGACTATGAAAAATGACTACGAAAAATAATTTGTCACTAAATGATTGATTTAATCTGGAAAACTCAACAGAAATTGTAGTAAAATTACATTTGCTTTTGCTTTTTTTGTTTTCAATGTAAAAGAAAATTTCCTCCTTCTACCTAAAACTGCCTTCCAGGTTCTTGATTTGCACAGGGGATCTTGAAAGAATTCTATTTGTCCACACTTTGAAATTAAAGTTTATTAAAAAATATTCTTATCATTTCACTTCTAAACATCTCCCTTTGGCAGCTAACAGAGCAATGTGGCATTATGGTAGTCATGTTTAATACAAAGAGCCAATTTTTAGGTTAGAGGTGACCAGAAGGTGAATCTCTGGGAAATCTCAAGTTTAGATTAAGAAAGTAGCTAATTTTCACCTGTATTGCTTTTCTTTGTAAGGGAAAAAGGATAACCGCGGTAATTTTAAAAATAATTCACTGGTGCTCATTAATAGGACCTTTTCACAGTCAAAACTCCCAAACGAGCACTTTCTTCATTATCTCCCACCCAGCAGAAAACCAACTTGTGCCCAAAGCTGTTATCCTCCTTTGGCCAACACCAGCAGCCATTCTCACTGTCTCCCAGTTTCCTAAACCTGATGTTATTGGGCCAGTCATATTCCCAACCCAGAGGATCTAACAAGACTGGTCTGATCGTTACTGCAGTGCTGTTCCCAGTGACTGTGGGGCCACATCTGACTTATTTCTGGACAATGGGACATAAGTCAGAACTGGGAGCTCTGGAGAAAAATCCTTCACTTATTTTTTTTAATGCATAGGCTATCTTTTTCTCCTGTATCACATTCAGTACTGCATTGTATGCTGTCTGTGATGATGTGATGCCTGGAGCTGAGGCAACCCCTTTGGGACTGTGAGGCATTGAGCATTAGAGAGGAAATAACAAGTTGAGCATGTTAGAGTGAAACAGTGGAAGGAGCCTGCATTTCTAATAACATCTTTTAATTATTACTAAGCCAACCATGAGGTAGCCACTACCGGACATTTCATTAAGTGAAGAACAAATGTCTTTTTGTTTTAAATCACTCAGACTTAGGTTTTCTGTTGTTTATAGTCAAACACAGCCTAGAAGATATACCTCGTCTGTCATAGATGACATTCTACCAATTGCATTCCTCTTTTATCTGAATCCCCAGACAAAAGGGTAGCTGCTCCAGGCAGGAACTCATGAACCCAACTCAACCTGATGCTCACCCTTCACCACCCATTTTGTTCTTCCCCTAAAAAAAGCAGGTCTGCTGTGGAAACTATGGGTCCATGGAACACAGTGTGACAACGACTTATCTATATTAAAATATAACAGAAGCATTGTGGTAAACTCTTCATACTGATGATTGCAGCCTGGGGCCTTATGAGGCTTCACATTTATATAAAATCAATCCTATAAAACTATCTTTACTATAATGACATTGTCATGCAGGCATAAGAAGTGTTAGAGCAGAAGTTCAAGCTGTGTCTGGTTCTATCAGTGTTACCAGTAATGTTTAATAGGATGGTGTAGCATTTTAAAATTCCACACCATTAATGGCTCATGATTAGTTTAGTGTACATAGTGTTACATTACGTTAAAATGTTGGTGACCCAAATTAATAAGATAGTTCCCTTATTATCTCATTTAATCTTTATGAGAAAACTATATTTTTAGGTATTTTAGTTGCCATTTAATGTAAATACATATGATGATTTATTTTTAATGATTGTGTTTCCCACATCTGGATATAAAAACTCATGCCATGGTAATGAATCCCCAGCTACCAGTAGCCCCTTATTAAATTTGATATGTACTTGGTGTGAGCTAAGATTGTCTTTGTGTGAGATACATATTTAATAGACAATAAATATTGACTAGGACCACAACATTAAGTTAAAATGATGAGACAAGATAAAAAACAGAGATGTGTAATCTTCAAAAGAAGGCATATATTTGATGGTTTTCATGGTCTTACAAAACCTTGTTGGCTATCTAGTTCAAATAACCCTTTCCTTAAGATAACTTATAAAAATGTCTTTTATCTTTTTCTTTCATATATACATACATATATGCATGACCGTATGAATGGTGTATATATACATAAATATAATTAGAAAATATGTATGTTTATATATTTTATGTGATATATGTATAATTAGAAAAAAGGGCACATTTTTCATTATTCTTTTATAATATTTAGCAACATATTCTTGAGCATAGATGCATCTCCTTAGGTGTCACATAAAATCAGGAATTATTTACATTTTTTTATTTGTTTCTAAAACTTTTTTAATGTAATCCACTAAAGGGTAATATTAAAGTAAAATATGCTCACATGTGTTCTGGTGCTAATTAATTAACAAATGAAACCTTTTTTTAATATGTAATGGTCACAGAGGGGCACAGTGTGGAATAAGGAAGCCAGTCCCTGCCTCTCTGCCTGTGCAGGCTACGGGAGAGAGATAGTCCCATAACCATATGGAAAATTACAGCACCTACAAGTCTATGCAGAGGAGGACCATGAAATGGTGGAATTGACACACTCCAGGATGTTGGGATGGCTTCTGAGGACCTCACATTTGACTTGGAGCCTGAAGGATACAGAAGCATTTACCAGGTGAAAGCAGGAGTTGAGGGTTCAGAACAGAGGGAGCAACCTATGCCAACGTCCTGGGAAAGGAGAGAGCATAGTGAGTATGAAAGACAAGGCAAGGCCAGCGATGCACAAAGATGAGTGTGAATGGGAACTTGGGGACCTTAACCAGAGAGAAAAGTGGGAATTGGGCTACATGGATTTTTGTCAGCTATATCAAAGAGCTTTGTCTTTTTCCTAAGTCAGCGGGAAGCCATGGAACCATTGCCTGTCTTGTTCGATGTTGGCTTTTGAAATAATCTCTCTAGAATTTGTCCGTACATTTTCTGAACTTAATTTGCCAAACCCTTGCTAAAGCTGCCAAATACAAGGTTCTGGGTAGGTATGGTAGAGCAAGGTTTAGATCCTGTTTTTGAGAGTTTCGAGAATGCCCTCAGCGACAGATTCATAGACCAGTGACAATGAGGCTATAGGACAGTTGAACACACATTGCCATAGATGCCTTTTGAAACGATCAATAAATTAGAAAAGGCAGGTTATCATGGAAAGTAAAAACTAGACATAAATCTGAACAGTGTCTTGATGGATAACGACTAGAATTAATAACACTCATTGGGATAGGATTATAGGAATTGCCCATGAAGTGACTTCATTACTTCATCACTATAACAATCCTAGAAGGATGAAACAGCGTTCACACCCATTTCATAGATGTCAGGAAAGAGGGCCCAGAGAAGAATAATGATCTGTCTAGATTCACTAAACCTGTAAGAGGCAGAACAAGAAGTCACTCAAACCCAGGCCACTGCTGCCCCAGACTGTCCAACCATGCCCAGTGGAAGTGGTCAAGTGAAACCCCACGATATCATTGGTGTATGGAAGGTGTCATGCCTTGGATTGTATCCGCAAAAAAAGAAAAAAAAAACTGTTAAAGTTCTAAATCCAGTACCCCAGAATGTGACTTTATTTGGAAATAGAGTCCTTTCACATATAATTTGTTCTGATGTAGTCACACTAGAGTAGGAGGAGCCCCTAATCCAATATGCCTGGTGTCCTTCATAAGAAGACAGTCGTGGGAAGACCCAGGGAGAAGGTCTGGTGAAGATGAAAGCAGAAATTGGAGTGACACATCTCCAAGCCAAGGAAGGTCAAGGGTCTCCAGCACTCCCCGGAGGCTACAACAGACCTAGAGAAGGTTCCCAGCACAGCCTCAGCAGGAACCAACACTGATTTCAGAGTTTTGGCCTCAAGAACTGTGAGAAAATGAAGATCTGTTCTTTGAAGCCACTTTATTTGTTGTATGTTGTTAAGGCAGCCCCTGGAGTCTAACGGAAGGTGAAAGGGTATGGACCAGGAAGACCAGAGTGAGGCCTTCAGAGGCTCATAGGGGCTCATTTCTGGAGAGCCTTGATTAATTCTCAGGGTCCGAGGAGCAGGCAAGATCTGGAATCAGAGGAGGCAAGTGACAAGCTGTGTTCACTCTGGCAGGTGCCACAGAGGAGGCTGGTTCTGTGTGGTGTTTCACATGCTGTACAGAATTTATGCATCTTTTGTCAGGTTTATTCCTCTCTTACACATATTTTTATTCCATTTTAAATGCTAGCCGTTTCTTTAAATTTGAATTGTCTATTGCTAATAGACATACAATGGATTTTCAAAATATTGTATCTGGCAACATTTTAAAACTCACTGATGAGTTCCAGGAGATCTTTTGTGAAATAAAGACATATTTTCAAGTCTTTTCCTTCTGTTTTCTTGCCTTATTTCTCTGAGTAGAATCTCCTGGACAATGTTGAATAAACTATTAGTCAGAGCTGGCATCATTGACTTGCTCACCACCTTAAGGGTCTTTTATCTCTGAGTAAAAACTACCGCTAAGTAAAACTGTCTTTTACCTGTAAGGATGATATTAGCTGGAGTATTTCTGTAAATATTCTTTACTCACTTGGGAAATCATTTATTTCCTATTACAAGTTTACTGAGTATTTCTTGTTTGTTCATTTGCTTTTTAACAGAAATAGATGTTGGATTTTGCCAAATGCAATTCCTACTTTTTAAAAAAATAGTTATATTTGTTTCTGTTTTTCAGTCTGTTAATAAATTTATCCCTGATTGATATTCAGAAGTTAAAAAACACCTTGTATTACTGGAGTAAACCATACTAGGCCATGATAAATTATATATTGCTTATATATATTATTGAATTACGTTTTGTTCAGAACTTTTGCATCTATATTAAGGATATGAATCTACAGCTGTCATTCTTATTTTATCTATGGCAGATTTTGGTATAAAAATAATGCTGCTCTCATGGAATTCATTGGCCAGTAAATGTCTTCTCCTCTTCAGTTTTCTAGAAGACATTGAGTAGAATTGCTATTATTTATTTGTATATTTATTTATTCTTAACATTCTTAACATATGGTAGAATTCACCAGTGGAGCCATCTGGCTGCTTTGTGGGAAGGTTTATCTTAAATTTCTTTAATAAACTCAGATATTAATTTTATATATTTATTTCTTATTATCTGAGACAAAGTCTCACTCTGTCGCCCAGGCTGGAGTTCAGTGGCACGATCTTAGCTCACTGCAAACCTCACCTCCCGAGTTCAAGTGATTCTCCTGCCTCAGCCTCCCAAGTAGCTGGGATTACAGGCACACACCACCATGCGTTGCTAATTTTTGTATTTTTATAGAGATGAGGTTTCTCCATGTTGGCCAGGCTGGTCTTGAACTCCTGACCTCAGGTGATCCACCCTCCTCGGCCTCCCAAAGGGCTGGGATTACAGGCGTGAGCCACCACACCTGGCTTAATACATTTATTTTTGAGTGTGCTTTGGTAGTTTGTCTTTCAAAGAATTTACGTATTACAACTAAGTGCGTGCATTTATAGGCTTGGGGTTCACCATGTTTCATTTTTATTATTTTACCGTCTGTAGAATCTGCAGCGAAATGACCTCTCTAGTCCTGCACATTGCCAAGTTCTGTCTTCTCTCTCTCTCTTTGCTTCTTGGTAAATCTGACTGAGGGCTTTCAATTTTTCTTAAAGAACTAGGTTTTTTTTCTTTAATTTTTATCTATTGCTTTTCTCTTCAATTTTATTGGTTTTCACTTTGATCTTTTTTCTTTCTTTTCTTCTGCTTACTTTGGGTTTTATTCGCCCTTCTTTCTTATTTCCCTTTCTCTGTTTGGGATTATTTCTGAAGGTGAAAGTTTAGGTCATTAATTTGCACCCGGCCCTACTTCTTTTCTAACACAGACTTTTTTTCCAGTAAATTTTGCCCAGGTACTGCAATAGCTCATGCCTATAATCCCAGCATTTTGGGAGACTGAGGCAGGAGAATCACTTGAGGCCAAGAGTTGGAGATCAGCCTAGGCAACATATCAAGGCCCTGTTCCTACAGAAATAAAAATTCAAAAAATAGCTGTGCATGGTGGCACATGCTTGTGGTCCCAGCTACTCTGGAGGCTGAAGTGGGAGGATCACTTGAGCCCAGGAATTGAGGCTGCAGTGAGCTGTGACCATGCCACTGCATTCCAGCCTGGGAAGCAGACCAAGATCCTATCTCAAAAAAAAAAAAAAAAAAAAGAAACAAAAACAACTTTTCTGATTTTGGCAGAGTCACACAAATTTTCATGAAACAACTTTTCCCAAGTAATGTTTTAGCCATGTCCTACGAATATTGATATGTTGCATTTCATTTCCATTTCATTCCATTTAATTCAAAATGCTTTCCAGTTTCTGATTTAAGTTTCTTAAAATTGTGCTGTTTGATTTCCAAATATCTGGAAGTTTTTTGTAGGTCTTTCTGTTACTGATTTCTAATTTATGTCCATGTTGGTCAGATAATAAAATTTATATTATTCAAATCCTTTTAAATTTCTTGAAGCTTTATTACGGGCCAGAATATGTTCTATATTGGGAAATGATTCATGAGTACTTGAGAAGAATATGTGCGCTGATCTTGTTAGGTGGAGGGTCCAATAACGATCATTTGAGTCCAATTTAATTGAGTTGTTCAAGTTTGTTATACTTTTGTTTATTTTCTATTTGTATCAATAATTGAGAGAGTGTCATTAAACTAACTCTTCCTCTCTCCCTTCTGATTCTAATTCACAGATAGATGATACCAAAGCGGCCAACGAGTTTAAAACTCTTTTTGCGCAGTAGGAATGACTCCATGAAGATTTCTCATCATGGAGCCCAGACTAGATGGACCCAAATCTCCAGACTCCCAGCTCTTCTGTAAACCCCATCCTGATTCTCTGAGTCTCTGAATCTTTTATCCTCATTTTCTTCCCAACTGTCCATAATGTAGAATTTAAATAAAAGATTAAATGTAATCTTTATAACATTATTATATTATTGAACAGTTTCAGGTTTCTTGTTCTTATTTACAAAAAACTAATAAGTAGAAATTTTATACTTCTCTGAGCATAAAACTATACAAAATAAAAATTATATAAAATTAATTTGATTTTCACTTATGAGGTCTATAATTATTCCCTTCATGGTTAATTATCCTCAATAGGAAACAAATGGTTTCCTACCTTCTTACTAAGTTACAAAACTCTCATTTATTAATAATCATTTATATTAATAATAATTACTAAATTGAATATGCCAGCTCTTACCAGATTTATGCTAGACTTTAATAAGTCCCTCTCTTCCCAGAAGCAGGAACAAAGTAGAGATGCATCAAATGAGCTAAATCTAATCTAATTTTCCTTATTGAGACTGGTTCTTAGGACCCTTCTTTCATACTCTGGAAACTGGGACACACTTGTAAATATTAAGTGGTTGTAAAGAGATGGCCTGTGACATGCCTGCAATCCCAGCACTTTGGGAGGCCAAGGCGGGCAGATCACCTGAGGTCAGGAGTTAAAGACCAGCCTGGACAACATGGTGAAGCTAAGTCTCTACTAAAAATACAAAAATTAGCCAGGCGTGGTGGCAGGTACCTGTAATCCCAGCTACTGGGAGGCTGAGGCAGGAGAATCGCTTGAACCCAGGAGGCAGAGGTTGCAGTGAGCCGACATCACGCCACTGCACTCCAGCCTGATGACAGATCGAGACTCTGTCCCTCCCCCTTTCCCCCCCAAAAAAAAAAGAGATGGCTGTGAGTGGTGGGTCCTTGCATTTGCTCTTGTCCTCACTTTGAAGTGCCTACCTACACTCTTGATGCCCAGCTGAAGCTTCCATTTGTAGCACCCTGTATCATACATACCATTGTTTAGCATCAGGCTCACTTTCCTTCTGTAGAAAGACGCATAGGTGAAGTCTCCTTAATGCACTGAAGCCACTTCTGCACTTAACAGATGGTGGGCTTGAGTTTGGTATATGTATCTCCTTCCCACGGGTGTGACATCTTTCACCAGATGTCAGCCTCCACATGAGAACTTAACTCAGCAGCCGAGTTCTGAAAAAGGCACAGTGCCTTCTCTGAACCATCAAAGAATGAGTCTTCCCAATAGCTACAAATAACTACGAGTCACTGATAACTTATATCTGTCTGCTCTTTCTTGAAGGATATTTAAATTCAATCCTCAGATTAGAAATAAAAAACCTAATCAGATATTTCTGCCTCTATATACATATAGAGGTGCTAATCAGATATTAGCACCTCTATATAGAGAGAGACAGAAAATACACAGTCCTCACAAAAGTTCCAGGCATTCCAAAAGCAAATACCTACTGGTACCAAGTGCGCAACCCAAGTGACTGCAAGTGCATGATGAGCTGGTGAGGCTTGCGGTGCCTGAAGAGCATGGGCTCTCTTCGTGAAGACATTAAACATGAATTGGGCCAGACAAAGCTCTCTGTGGTCACATTAGTCCAGGTTATGGCCCCTGTGCATCGTAATGTGAAACTGTGATTAAGGCAAGAACACTTACCACAGTGTCTGATGGTGAATACTGAGTGTGAACTTGATTGGACTGAAGGACGCAAAGTATTGTTCCTGGGTGTGTCTGTGAGGGTGTCACCAAAAGAGGCTGACATTTGAGTCAGTGGACTGGGAGAGGCGGACCCACCCTCAATCTGGATGGGCACCATCCAATCAGCTGCCAGTGTGGCTAGAATACAGCAGGCAGAAGAAGTTGGAAGGACTTGACTTGCTGAGTCTTCCAGCCTTCATCTTTCTCCTCTGCTGGATGCTTCCTGCCCTTGAACATCAGACTCCAACTTCTTCAGCTTTTGGACTCTTGAACTTAACACCCGTGGTTTGCCAGGGGCTCTCGGGCCTTTGGCCGCAGACTGAAGGCTGCACTGTCGGCTTCCCAGTTTTTGAGGTTTTGGGACTTGGACTGGCTTCCTGGCTTCTCAGCTTGCAGACGGCCTATGGTGGGACTTCACCTTGTGATCGTGTGAGTCAATACTTAATAAACTCCCTTCCATATATACATCTATCCTATTAGGGAACCCTGATTAATACACAGTGTTTTCATGTGTGTTTGTTATACTTCAATCAAGATTATTATGTTATCATGATACCTGATACTTCCCCTCATGAAGGATTGAGTTTAGGTTTAAAATTGGAAGGCAAAGCAGCATTTATGAGGAGGCAGGTCTATGAGGCATTCTGAAATTCCAGAACTGCAAGCATCGCTATCTGCTTCTATTTCCTTAGGGATGCTTGGTCTTGAGCAGTTAAAGAAAAGTAAGTATGTTACTTGCCCATTAAAAGGCAGAATTGTAGCACAGAATCTTTCCAGTAAAGTGAGTAAAAGAAGGTACTTAATGGGCCGGGCATGGTGGCTCACGCCTGTAATCCCAGCACTTTGGAAGGCCAAGGTGGATGGATCACCTGAGGTTGGGAGTCCAAGACCAGCCTGACCAACATGGAGAAACCCCGTCTCTACTAAAAATACAAAAACTAGCTGGGTATGGTGGTGGGTGCCTGTAATCCAAGCTACTCCGGAGGCTGAGACAGGGGAATCGCTCGAACCTGGGAGGTGGAGGTTGCTGTGAGCTGAGATCGCACCGCTGCCCTCCAGCCTGGGCAACAAGAGGGAAACTCCATCTCAAAAAAAAAAAAAAAAAAAAGGAAGAAGATACTTAACAAATAAGTGAAAAGAGCCAAGGATGTTCCTGAAAAGAGATGTTGGTATTGATTTAGCCTATAGGCACCGTAAGTATACCTGAGGAAGGCTCACTGCAAACCACTGGCTTCTCCCGTTTCTAGATTCTGGGACATGTTCACGGTTTTTGGAGCCTTATGTTGGATCTGAGAAAGTCTCAGCACTCCACAAGTTATCCTTTCACCCAAATGCTTCTTAAGGACATTTTTTTAGAATTCCCCACAACCTGGATTTAAACTCAAGCTCTGATATTCACTACCTGTGTAGCCACTTGAGGTGTCACTTCCCTTGGACTCAGTTTCCCCAAAGAATAAGGATTGTAGTGGTAACTTCCTCCTGGGATTATGATGAGGTTGGATTAAGTGAAAAAGAAAAGAAAGCCCTTAGCTTAGGTCTTAACAGAAACACTCCTGATAATTATCCTCTCCAATTGTTCTGTTCAAATTAAACTCTATAGACAAAGCATGTTGTTTGGATATTATTTTTAAATCATCATAATCTTTTGAAATATGACATACATAACTAAGTAAATGTATAAATATATATGAGGCAGTGTCTGTACAATGACTGATATGGATAGTTGCCATTCGTGGTGATGAGAATCTGGGATAAATTCCCCATGACTGGTGCATGGGGTAGTTTGGAAAACAGAGGCAGGGGGGTTCCCTGAGGGCTGAACTGGCTAGAGTGGGCTAGGCCAAGTTTTAAGTGGGGATTAAGCAGGAGCTGGGTGTCAGGTAGGATGTCATGGGGACTGCTGTGAGCACAGGTCTGGGCTCGAGAGATTCAAAAATTGTGGGATTTCACTTTTAGGTCCCAGGATTTTCTCCGAAAGTGAGAAAATATGGCTACGTCTTATCCATCTTTGGATGCAGTAAAAACTAGAGAGAGAAATGAATAGGCAGTGCACAGAGGATTTTTAGGACAGTGAAGGTAGTCTGTATGTTACTACACTGGTGGATACACTATAAATTTCTCCAAATCCACAGAATGGACACCACCAGGAGTGAACCCTAATGGCAGTTATGGAGGCTGGGTCATAATGACTTGTTAATATAAGCTTATCCATTGTAACAAGTAGACTACTCTGGTGAGGGATGCTGAGAATGAGGGAGGCTGTGCCTGTGCGGGGAGAGGAGGGATATGGGGAATCTCTGTACCTTCCACTCAATTTTGCTGTGAATAGTTGGCCACGCACGGTGGCTCATGCCTGTGATCCCAGAACTTTGAGAGGCCACGGCAGGGAGGATTGCTTGAGCCCAGGACTTTGAGACCAGCCTGGGCAACGTGGTGAGACCACGTCTCTACAAAAACTTTTTAAAAATTACCAAGGTATGGGCCGGGAGTGGTGGCTCAAGCCTGCAATCCCAGCACTTTGGGAGGCTGAGGCAGGTGGATCATGAGGTCAGGAGATCAAGACTATCCTGGCCGACATGGCAAAACCTCGTCTCTACTGAAAAAAAAAAAAAAATTAGCTGGGGATGGTGGCACATACCTGTAATCCCAGCTACTTGGGAGGCTGAGGCAGGAGAATCTCTTGAACCAGGGAGTCAGAGGTTACAGTGAGCCGAGATCATGCCACTGCACTCCAGCCTGGTGACAGAGCAAGACTCCATCTCAAAAAAAAAAAAAAAAAATTACCCAGGTATGGTGGCATATGCCTGTAGTCCCAGCTACTCGGGAGGCTGCGGTAGGAGGATGGCTTGATCCCAAGAGGTTGAGGCTGCAGTGAGCAATAATTGTGCCACTGGACTCCAGTCTGGGTGACAGAGGGATATCTTGTCCCAAAAAAAAGTTTTATTAAAATAAAAATAAAATAATTAAATACACGCATAAATACATAATTGGTGAGCAAAAATAAATAAAGTTTATTTTTAAAAAATGAGTGTAGGTGAGTAGCAATTTGTGAATTTCAGTTGTCTTCGTGGCCTGGAAGCCAAATGGATTTGTAACTCTTTGGCAAGAGACTGTGGCATAGGGTGTGTCTGTGTATGAGAGAGACTGGGAAAATGGGAGATGAGTAAAACGGCTTCAGGCTTGGGGATGAAGTCAATTCCCTAATGAAATGATCAGACAGTGGAAACAGTTCATTTTCTGGTCTCACATTGTCCGTGTTTGTCTGTTTAATTTCCTCCACTTCTGTGTCCTCTATTGCGTTTTGTCAAAGCAGGAGCCTGCACCAGATACTCTCGTGAACTGTCTCCTAATAAAAGGAATCCCTTATCTTTGACAGGATATCATGGCAAACTTTTTTAATTTTATTTTTTTTGAGTCAGAGTTTTGCTCTTGTTGCCCAGGCTGGAGTGCAATGGCGCAATCTCAGCTCACTGCAACCTCTGCCTCCCGGGTTGAAGCTATTCTCCTGCCTCAGCCTCCAGAGTAGCTGGGATTACAGGTGCGTGCCATCACACAAGGCTAATTTTGTGTTTTCAGTAGAGACAGGCTTTCTCCATGTTGGTCAGGCTGGTCTCGAACTCCTGACCTCAGGTGATCTGCCCTCATCGCAAACTTAACCAATCAAGTGAGGAGGGAAATAATCATTATGAGACTACTGACTATTGTTACACTCTGTTAAATTTAGCAACACAGTCATTCCCATAAATGATTTAATACAAAGGGTCATGAAACATGTGGATGTTTAGATCTCAATCTCCTCATCCCATCAGCTTTTTGCAGTTTCATTGCCTTGGCTGCTGTACAGGTTCCATTTGAATGCCCTGATAGAGGACTATGGCACCTGACAGATAGCCAATGTGTTGCCTGAAGTTAGCGCACATTAAATGTCTTGTCACTCTGCAAAAAAAATGATAGTTGTGCAGGCTTCACTTTGGCTGGGGTAACAGAGGCTTGCCATAGGATCAGATGTACATCTGTTTTCAGTTACATTAGCTATATGCTGCTTTGCATGTTCTGTTTAATCATTCATTAAAATTAGTACCTGTTTTCTGTCAGATACCATAAGACTCTCAATAGGTGCCACATGTATAGCATATACACAGGGCGTGCTGTAGACTAAAAATATATTCATTGTTTGTGTGAAATTCAGATTTAGGCATCTATGCGAATCTGGCAGCCCTAGCCCTCAGTCGGTATGTAGTCTGGCGGAACCACCACCACATTCACAGACAGTCACAATGCAGTGCAGTCAGGGCTGTGAGGGAGAGACAGCAGTGAGCGCTTGAGACACTACAGCAGTGGCAGCTAAGCCAGGATGCTGGAGGCCAGAGAAGTCTGCCCTCAGGAGTTAACACACAAAATGAGGCACAAAAGACAATAAAAAATAGGCCAGGCAAAGGAGCTGAAGATGGGTCTTGAGAGAACAGGGACAGAAGGTATATCAGATATTCCCAGTGGGCCACCCTATCTATAGCTTTTGAAACATTCCATGTGAATATTCGACTCTACTATGAACTTATAACTTCTCATACATGTGCTTCTGTGCCTTACGTCTGCCCTCCTACCCACAACTGTGAAAAAGTCAACTATCTGACTGTTGGGTGGGTGAGACATCTGAAGAATAATAGGAACCTGTCCCTAGGAGCAGCCCCTCATGAATCACTCTTACTGGGTGGAGTATAAGTACCCCAGGTCCCTCACAGCTCAGATGGGAAAATTCTGAGACAAGTCTGCTGCAGTTTTTCCTGACACTTCCTCACCCAAAGATCTGGTGATCCCTGTGGTTGCTGGCCAGAGAGAGCACCCTCTGACATCTCTTTCTCTTATTCTACCAGGTTCCCACTTCTTGTCTAGTCTTTCCTGAACTTCTCAAATAAACACTCATCACTTGAACCTGTGCCTCAGGGTCTGTTTCTGGAAGAACCAAAGCTGGAGGTGAACACTGAGATAAGTAGCAGACACTGCCCGTGTAAGAACAACATACCCGCTTACAGCTGGGATATGGGATGTGGACAGTGAGTGCCCAGAGGTCAGGTTGGGCTTCAGATACAGTAGGGTATTTGGATTTATTCTTAAAATGGTAGGAAAATGTTTTATGGAAATAATCAGATGAGCAATATGATTAGATTAGTGTCTTACACATGGTTTTCTGCCGGGGATTTGGAGGAGCTGAAAGGAGGTAAAATGGAAGTCCAGGAAAGCAAGTAGGAGCTGCTTGCAGCAGCCATGCAAGGGGGCAGAGGAAGTTATGGGGTGCAGAAGTAGGCCCATGACACACCAGCAGCACCATGTGGACTAGGAGGATATGGAGATGATGGAGAGAAGCAATGGAAACACTGGTTCCTGCTTGCATGCTTGAGGAGACATCATCCCTTAAGCTAAACCAAAGGCCACGCAGGTCTCCATTTGATGGGAAAATGTTGGAATTAACTGCTTATTCTTCTGTGCTGCAAGGAAGAATCAGCATTCAGACAAAAACTTTTCTCAGCAAGGTAATTTTACTTTTGGCAGAAAGGGTGCTACCCGTCTGCAATCCTGCTTCCTAACCACAATGCGATTATCAAAATCAGGACTCCAGACATTAATCAAATACTGTTAACAAATTATCAAGTGCTTTTTACACTAATGTAATGGTGTTATGGTGGAGAAGCGTTTGTCATATACCTCACCTCACTTCTCTACCTGACCAATGGGGAGCCAGCTAGTGGGGGAAGGGTGGTTGACTCTCAGGGTCTCAGATTCCACCTGCGTGTCCTCTGCAGCCTGTGTCTTGTGCTGTATCACAGGCTATTACCCTCAAGAATGCATCTTTGCCCCATGAATTATCTCCCATTCCTTCCTTGTACAAAGAGGGACTCTGCAACCCAAAAGATAGAAGTATTTATTTATCTATTTATTTATTGAGACAAGGCCTTACTCTGTCACCCAGGCTGGGGTGCAGTGGTATAATCACAGCTTACTGCAGCCTTGAACTTCTAGGCTCAAGCAATCTTCCCACCTCAGCCTGCAGAGTAGCTGAGGCTATAGGCATGAACCACCTTGTCCAGCTAATTTTGCTATTTTCTTTTTTTTTTTAGAGATGGGGTCTTGTTATGTTGCCTATACTCGTCTCAAATTCCTGGCCTCAAGTGATTCTCCTAACTTGGCCTCCCAAAATATTGGGAATACAGGTGTGAACTACTGCACTTGACCAATAGAAACACTTACGTAAGTCTTGGGGTGGGTGCCACTTTGACCAAGAAATCTGTGATGATAGGTACGATGTCCACTGACCTGAAGCAATGAGTTTTTTTTTTTTTTTTTTTTTTTTTTTTTTTTGAGACGGAGTCTCGCTCTGTCGCCCAGGCTGGAGTGCAGTGGCGGGATCTCGGCTCACTGCAAGCTCCGCCTCCCGGGTTCACGCCATTCTCCTGCCTCAGCCTCCCAAGTAGCTGGGACTACAGGCGCCCGCCACTACGCCCGGCTAATTTTTTGTATTTTTAGTAGAGACGGGGTTTCACCGTTTTTTAGCCGGGATGGTCTCAATCTCCTGACCTCGTGATCCGCCCGCCTCGGCCTCCCAAAGTGCTGGGATTACAGGCGTGAGCCACCGCGCCCGGCCGAAGCAATGAGTTTTTACTCGTCCAATGAAATATACCCACTTAAATTCATATCTCTTCCTCTTTATGTTTTCTCTATATTCTATTCTAAATTGTTCAGATTAAAATATTAAAAATATGGCCAGGTGCAGTGGGTCATGCCCGTAATCCCAGCACCTTGGGAGGCCGACACAGGCAGATCACTCGAGCCTAGGAGTTCAAGACCAGTCTGGGCAACATGGTGAAACCACATCTCTATTAAAAATACAAAAAAATTATCTGAGCATGGTGGTGCACACCTATAGTCCCAGCTACTCTGGAGGCTGAGGCACATGAATCACTTGAACTCTGGAGACAGAGGGTGCAGTCAGCCAAAATTGCACCACTGCACTCCAGCCTGGATGACGAGCAAGACTCTGTTTCAAAATTATATATATATATATATATATATATATATATATATGAAATACTAATTATCTTCATATGTTCCTCACAATAATTAAGCTCCATGAATGCAAGCACTACATTTGCTTTATTCTTAGTGTCTGTTAGCTAATCAATGCTTGTTAGATATTTATCAATTGACAAAATCAATGAATAACTAATGCAAAACCAAGTACCTAAAGAGTTTCTTTAGATTCATGCCTTGGCAGAGGACAAAAGAGAAAAGGATGAGGCTGTTGCTGAACATTATTTGGTGCTTCTCACGTTAATAAACCCAGCAGATGGGAGGTGACAAGTGTTGGAAATTGTTCCTGGCCATGGTGTGAGTCACAGGGGGCCCTGTCTATGATCCTTTACATGATTAAGAGTTTACTAAGCAGAGGATATATTGGGTTTTATAGCATAGGGGGAATAGGTGGAGAGGAAAAAGATGAGAATTGGCCCATAAAGTGAGTTTCTTCATCTGTTTATAATTCATGTCTTGGCAGCAGATGCTCCCCTGCCCTGACGTTTGGAGAAAAGACAAACGCCGAGACGAAGTGGCAAGAGCTTCTTTTCTCCTTCCCCCGTGCCTGCTGCTTAATCAATATCAAAGTCCTGCTGCCAAGAGTGATGAATGGCTCAGGGGCATCACAGGTTGGTGGCTCCTAGTGCCATGTGAGCTGGCAGCTGCCACTGCCGTACCACCTGTGACCCACATGTGTCTTTCTGAGATGGCCAAAAACAAACTTTCTCTTCAAATGTTGCTTTTTACCCAATGTTGATCAACAAAGTTAATTAGTCATTAACCTCCAGGTATTCAATTAGGTTTTTAGGCTTTATTAGATGGAGGTGCCCTAAAACTAAATTCCCTTTTTTGAAAGATAAAAGTTGCTTTATAGCCAGTGATGGACACCAGGGTGGCTGGCGCACAGGGAGGAAGAGAAAGGACCATGAGATGAAGGTGCATGAGCTGGGGTCATACCACGCAGAGCCTCTTCAACCATTCTTGAGAGACGAGAGAGAGAGAGAGAGATTTAAATTCTAAGTGTAATGAGATGGAACTGAAAGCTCTGAAGAGACAGAGTGTCATGACACAATTTAATATTTAAAAGGATCTTTCTGGCCTAGGGCAGAAAGAACATCATAGAGACATACTAGGAAATTGTGATAAACATCCAGGAAAGGGTAGATCACAGTATGTGATATGGTTTGGATCTGTGTCCCTGCCCAAATCTTATGTTAAGTTGCAATCCCCAGTGTTGGAGGAGGGGCCTGGTGGGAGGTGATTGGGTCATGAGGGTGGATTTCCTTCTTGCTGTTCTCATGATAATGAGTAAGTTCTCAGATCTGGTTGTTTAAAAGTATGTAGCCCATCCCCCTTCACTCTCTTCCTCCTTCTCTGACCATGTAAGATGTGCCTGCTTCCCCTTCACCTTCCACCATGATTGTAAGTTTCCTGAGGTCTCCGCAGTCATGCTTTCTGTACAGCCTGCAGAACTGTGAGTCAATTAAACCCCTTTTATTTATAAATTACCCAGTCTCAGGTAGTTCTTTATAGCAATATGAGAATGGACTAATTCAGTGAGGAATAGGAAGCTGGCAGTGGACATAGAGATGTGTGGACTAATTTGCAATCTATCTTTGATGATTTTAATATCTTATTATATGTAAGGGAAGATTTAAAGCCTATTTAAAGTATACAAATTAAGATACAATTATTAACTTATTGCTTTGATATCACATGACGTTACTGGGCTTTGGAAGGTGAGCAGAGGCTGCCTGGTGACCTGCCTGCTGGGTAACCCATTGGTTTTGGTGGCACACAGCTGCAGAATGAAACCTGAACATCTGCGACCCTTAACAACCTCCATACTACCATCTCAGGTCCTGCAAAGTCTGTTCCTGGAGAGATTGCTTGGAGGAGCCCCAGCACGAACCCTACTGAAGATGTCAGCCACTTACGCACTAATGGTCATGCCAAAGGTGTTTTCTTATGATGTTCCTCAGCCGTGGACCACTGGGGTGCCAGAGTAGAACTGGGGATCCCTGCAGAAACAGAGTTATAAGCACTGGCCCCTCCCCACTCTAACCACAGTCACATCTGGGGTCCCTGGCAGCCAGTTCATCTCAGTTGATGGCATCTCTGTCCTTCCAGGTCAAAGCCTCTAACTCACTTTTGCCCCATTCATTTCTATCCAATCTGTCTATCCAATCTGTCAGGAAATCCTCTTGCCACCTCCTCCAAATATACACAGATTCTGACCACTTCTCACCGCCGCCCTGCTACTCCCGGTTCTCATCCACCATGGCCTTTCCCCTGGATTCTGCAGTGCACCCATGATGGTCTCCCTGCTTCAACCCTTGACCCCTTGATGAGTCAGGGTACTCCAGAGAAGCAGCACAGATAGGACAGGCCTAGATGCATCAAAGGAGATTTATTATGGGGATTAGCTCACAGTATTATGGAGGCTGAGAAGTCCCATGATCTGTGAGCTGAAGAATGAAGAAAGCAGATGCTTTGATTTAGTCTGAGTCTGAAAGTCTGGGAACCAGGAGAGCTCTGTTGTATTCCAGAGTCCAGAAGTCTGAAGGCCCAAAAACCAGGAACTCTGACATCCCAGCGCAGGAGAAGATGGATATCCCAGCTCAAAAAGAGAGAGAAGAGAACTCACTCTTCCTCTGCTATTTTGGTTTTTTTTAGGCTTTCAAAAAATTAGATGATGTTCACCCACATTGGTGAGGGTAAATCCTCTTAACTCAGCCCACCAACTCAAATGCTAATGTCTTCCAGAAACATCCTCCAGACACACCCAGAAATAATGTTTACCAGCTATCTGGGCACCCCTGAGCCCAGTCAAGTTGACAAATGTAGTTAACATATCATCCCCCATCCCCCCATGCACACTCAAGGGTGTGGCAGCAGCCAGGGGGCCCCTCCTAGAGAGAACATGAGGCAGTGCCATCCCATTACACTCAGAGTAAAGCTCAGTGTCATTTTACAGTGAGCCCTCCGTACCCACAGGTTTTGCATCTCAAATTCAAAAACGGTATTTGCTGGATGCAAAGATTGTAAATTTGGAGAGTGGATGTGAGCATCCCCAGATGTCAGTATCTGCTGGAGTTCCTGGAAGCAAGCTCTGGTAGATCCCAAGAGACTGTACCTCTCTCTCTCTCTCTCTTTTTTTTTTTTTTTTGAGACGGAGTCTTGCTCTGTCGCCAAGGCTGGAGTGCAGTGGCGGGATCTCGGCTCCGTATCTCTTTTAATATATTTCAAAGCTACACATGATCTCCTCCCAGGCCTTTTTGAGCATCTCTCCTCCTACTCTCTTCCTGACTGTGTTCTGCCCACACTGACTTCCCGGCCTGGCCTTTCTGGGAACACACTGGGCCTGCTCCCCACTCAGGGCCTGGGCAGTGTCCATTCCCTCTGCCAGGCACATGGTCTAGCTCAACAAGTCATTGCTCAAAAGTCATATCTGGCTGGGCGCCGTGACTCACGCCTGTGATCCCAGCTCTTTGGGAGGCCAAGGTGGGTGGATCACCTGAGGTCAGGTGTCCGAGACTAGCCTGGCCAACATAGTGAAACCCCGTCTCTACTAAAAATACAAACATTAGCCAGGCATGGTGGTGGGCACCTGTAATCCCAGCTACTCAGGAGGCTGAGGCAGGAGAATCGCTTGAACATGGGAGGCGGAGGTTCAGTGAGCTGAGATCGCAACACTGCACTCACTCCACTCTGGGTGACAAGAGTGAAACTCCATCAAAAAAAAAAAAAAAAGTCACATGTCCCATGGTTTACCCTCACAGCATGGTTTAAAATTGAAGCCACAGCCCTGCCCAGCCTGCATGCATTCTCAGTCGCCTTATTCTACTCTTTCCTTTGCTCCACAGTACGCATCTCTTTATAACAAGCCACATGATTATCTTCTCCTTTATTTCTGTTCTCCCTTTCTCCAGTCCTCAGAATAGAAACCCTACAAGTAGAGGAGGCTTTGTGTGTTTGGTCCCTGCCCTCTCGGAACTAACATTGCTGGAGAGGGAGAGATCACACACACACACACACACACACACACACACACACACACATCTATCACATGTGTATCATTTACAAGATGAGTAGAAATGATGGGATGTTTTTCTGGGGTTTAAGGCATATTATTTTCAACAGGATGGTTAGAGAAGATGCCACTGGGAGGGGACATTTGAGCAGATGCCTGCAGTTAAAGGGGAGGCTCTTTCAGATGTGAGGGAAGAACATTTCTGGCAGAGGCAACAGCAGGTGTGAGACGGGAACTTGTGCTGTCACAGTTATCGGTAGTGCCCTGCCCCACAGCTGCTGAGCCCACTTTCAAATCCATCCAGAGCTGTGGAGTTTCGATTCCATCCAGAGCCATGGAGGGCAGTTTCTTTGCACTCTGGAAGCTTCCTGGATCCTTGTACATCTTTGCCTGGGAGCTTTCTCCAGCCTTGCAGAAGATGCTCAGCCTGGTGCAAGATAGCTTGGAAATGCTGCCAAAAGCAACTCTCAGCCAAAGGGAGGGACGAGTCCTGGACAGACAGCCCAGTGTCTCTGTCCCACAGAGCATCTTTTCTGAGGCACATCATGCATCATTCCTTAGAAGGTTCCCAGTGGAATGTGGGCCCCAGCGACATAGGAGCAGACACCCTTTGACACATACCTGTTGACTTCCTCTTTCCCCCATCTCACTTCCCCCATTCTCTCACTTGTGATTTCTTGGGTCCACTTTCACCTCAACCTAAGTCCCTGTATCAGTGTCTGCTTTGGGAAGAATTCCAACTAAGACATATGCTAAGAATGAAGTAGCAACAACTGACTGCTCACCACAGATTGGAAAACAAAATAGAGTTGCCTAATCTCTTCTTTTCCGCTTGCCCTGGCTGGTGGTGGGGGGAGCTGCATTTGGGCAGAAAGGACCCAGAGACCAGACCCCTGGGGACAGGACAGGAACCAAGGGAGTCCCCGCAGGAGGAGTTGAGGGGCAGTGCCAGCCAGTGGGTGTCTATATGGTCCCTGTGTGGCATCAGAGCCTTGATGTTCAGACTGAGGTTCAGACCTGGGAGGAGAGAATGAGGGTCTGAGAAGAAGCCTAGACCTCGGGAAGCTGAAAGGGCAGGCAAGGAGCCCCTGCTCAAAGATGGTTGGAGGACCAGAGGATGGGGCTTGGCTGCAGGAAACAAGGCAGACATTCATTACGGGCACCATGGTGCAAAGTCAGAGATTCCCTCATTAACCTATTGATCTGATGCAAATGCATCCAACTCATCTAAAGCATGGGGCTAACAGTGTACTTTGCAAATTCTGGATACATATTTGCTAGGTGAATATGTAACTGTAGAGCAGCCAGGACAAGCCGCATTCAATGCTTTGCAGTGGTTGAAAGTGCAATTTATCATCTCATCACTCCACTCTTTTTATCTTTTTTTTTTCCAGAACTAGCAATAGCCAAGTCTCTGGTAATGCAAATTGGTATTAACTTTTTATTTCCTCAATATATCAGAAATTTAAGTAACTGCCATTCTTGTGTATTTATGCAGGGGCTTAGGTGCATGTATTATTCATCTGGAGATTTCTCTCTGTGTTCACGTGTCTACAGCTCCACATTCCTAAATGGAATTCAATGGAAGACAACTTAAGATCCATGCCTGCCCACAGGAATTTCACTAGTGTCAGCTTTTTTTTTTTTGAGATGGAGTTTCGCTCTTGTTGCCCAGACTGCAGTGTAATGGCACAATCTCAGCTCACCGCAACATCCGCCTCCCCGGTTCAAGCAATTCTCCTGCCTCAGCTTCCCAAGTAGCTGGGATTACAGGCATGCGCCATCACACCCTGCTAATTTTGCATTTTTAGTACAGACGGGGTTTCTCCATGTTGGTCAGGCTGGTCTTGAACTCACCACCTCATGTGATCCGCCCGCCTCGGCCTCCCAAAGTGCTGGGGAGATTCAGCGCTTTAAACATCCTCATTGACTGATGTTTGGCTCTCTGTGGAATAGTGTGCACGTGTTTGTGCAGGTGTGGGTGGAGGCTGAGTTACTCTGACCTTCTCATGCAGATATGCCCTTGTTCTCGGAGCAGGAAACGCCCATGGAAATTGAAGAAGCATTATCATCTCATGTGCTTTCCTCTCTCCTGCTCCCACTACTCACCAACTGAATGTAGGATGAGGAAGGCGTGAAAGTGTTAGAAAAACATTGTTTGGTTAAAAAGATCTTGACATCTGAAGGGGTATATCAACTTCAACTTCCATCTCCTGAGATGGTACCAAAAAAAAGATGGAACACAACTATTAAAACAAAGAACTTCAGATGGTTGCTTTTTACTGAAGTTGTCAGGAAATATAGCACTATCCAGACCATATTTCTTACTACCATATTTGTGACTGTTCCTAAAATTTCCACCAACACAGTCCCCCTTATGTTCCCAAAAAGCTCCCATTAAAATGGAAACTGACATCTGAATTTGGTCAATCTGCTAACAATTATTGAACATATTATTTCAAATCAGTTTTTCCATTATGGAGCTTTTATCTTGGAAATGACAGAGAGGGGTATTGAGGAAGTGACACACTGAATGGATATGTTTTGATGTGGAAAGGGGCAAAAAAAAAAAAAAAGAAATCCAAAGTATCTGAAGTCGTTTCTTTTGAAGTTTTCATTATTTTGACTTTCTAGTAAAGTTTTCCTTGGTTAATATTAAAGTATGCATGTTCATACACAGCATTTTAGAAATAAAGGGAGGCAGACTGGTACTGGAGGGACATTGCCTGAGATTTCTTCTGTTTAAAGCGATGAATCCTAACATATGACTGAAACTCGGAGTGTCTGCCATTGTGGTGGGCAGAACCTACCACTTCTGTTTCCACATTAGACTAAATATTGCACAGAACACAGTGGCAATGAGAGTGCTATCTTGCAAACATAGCTAAGATTGGAATTTTGGCTTTCCCTGTGGAAGAACTCTGTGTGTGACTATGTTTTTATATTTGAAAACGAGGAAAGAAATCTCTTTCATCTGATGATGAATTTTGTTTCTTACATGGGCCTTCAGCAAAGTTCAAAAACTGTGAGATGTCCTTCATGGAGCAACTGCTGGAATGCGCTTCATAGCAGCTGTTAAGATAAATAATTCACTGTTAATAGGTTCCAGGGGCATTCCTGAAACTGCCCACCAAGTTGGGTAATGGCATAATGGTGCAAAGCAAAGAGAAAATATGATTATTTATTCCCATTCACCCTTGCTGGTTATAATAAAAAAGAGACTCAGGCTCTATTTCCTAATCTTGTGTGTGTGTATGTGTGTGTGTGTGTGTGTGTGTGTGTTTAGATGGAGTCTCACTCTGTCACTCTGGCTAAAGTTCAGTGGCATGATCTCGGCTCAGTGCAACCTCTGCCTCCCGGGGTCAAGTGATGCTCATGCCTCAGCCTCCCGAGTAGCTGGGATTACAGGCGCCTGCCACCACACCCAGCTAATTTTTTATTTTTAGTAGAGACAGGTTTTCACCATGTTGGCCAGGCTGGTCTTGAACTCCTGACCTCACGTGATCTGCCACCTAACCTGGCTCTATTTCCTAATCTATAAGTCAATCATGACTGATGTACAGAGGAACAATATATCTTTGCAGCCTTAATTCTTTGGTAGAAGATAGTACCATTTTGGTTTTACAAGAAATCTATCCTTCTGTACTCAAGGTTCATTTCATTTTTAAAAATTGGCATCTCTACTGTCTAAATCACCCAATCTGAGGCTCAGTCATGCCATTTAAGATCCACAGCCGATTATGGAGTGGGGCAGAGAGAAAGTAGGAAGAAAACACATTAGATGCAGGTTTCTAACTGACCCACAGCCACAGATAAATGTATTTGTTAATATTTTGAAAGACAGTTATACTTGCATGCACCTATCAGAAATAAGAATCTTTTTAATGGAAGCATTTAAAGTATAATACATTGTACATTTTTTTTTCCATTTGTCAATAAATTAAGATGGCTGAGCATGTGGGCTTGGACTGGGTCTCTCCCAGCCTCTGAGAGATGATGCCAAACCCCATCTCTGGATGTCTCTCCCCTTCCTTCTTCCACTCTATCCCACATTGGGCTGCATAATTCAACAGGGGCCTCCACTGACATTATCTCACAACAGAGTTATTGCAAGACCACTCATTTATTATAGGGCAACTCTTTGCTGCCTGTCACTTCCCTTAGGTTTCAACGTCAGTCAATGCAGGCACCATACCTGCTTTCCTGAGTGCCTCCTGCTATGTAGCAAGGGTCTAACCCTCACCATATATTTGAAAGTAAATTTGTGAGGTCAAACATAATTACATTTGCCTGGCATGGTGGCTCACACCTGTAATCCCAGCCCTTTGGGAGGCCGAGCCAGGCGGATCACTTGAGGTCAGGAGTTCAAGACCAGCCTGGCCAACGTGGTGAAACCCCATCTCTACTAAAAATACAAAAAATTAGTCAGGCATGGTGGCGGGTGCCTGTAATCCCAGCTACTTGGGAGGCTGAGGCAGGAGAATCGCTTGAATCCAGGAGGCTGAGGTTGCAGTGAGCTGAGACTGTGCCACTGCACTCCTGCCTAGATAACAGAGTGAGATCCTGTCTCAAACCAAACAAACAACAAACAAAATTCTCCAGGTGTGGTGGTGGGTGCCTGTAGTCCCAGCTCTTCAGGAGGCTGAGGTGAGTGGATTGCTTGAGCCGGGAGAAGGAGTTTACAGTGAGCCTAGATCACACCGCTGCACTCCAGCCTGGGTGACAGAGGGAGACTCCGTCTCAAAAAACAAAACCAAACAAAAAAAGATAATTGGAAGCTTTGACATGGTTGTATCTTAGAATATGTGCAAATAAAAATGCAAATAAAAAATGTGTACCAACTCACTGAGGCATTTTGTTGAGGTGATGTATCATTTTCCTCATTGCCAGCAGGTGACACAAGAAGAGTTTAAAACAACAGCGGCTTTTAATTGCTTACAGAGCTTTCTCAATTAAAAGTCTAGTGTTGTGACTGCTTAAAAAATCAGATCCCATTGGCTGAGGAGCCAATGGGGCGAAGCTACCATCTGTGGGATTATGACTGAACGCCTCTTAAGTCAGAATCCCGCCCAGGCGGAACGATACGGCAGCCCCGCGGCGCCTCGGTTGGCCTCGGTCGGCCTCGGATGGCCTCGGTCGGCCTCGGTCGGCCTCGGTCGGCCTCGGTCGGCCTCGGATGGCCTCGGTCGGCCTCGGTCGGCCTCGGTCGGCCTCGGTCGGCCTCGGTCGGCCTCGGATGGCCTCGGTTGGCCTCGGTCGGCTCGGTTGGCCTCGGATGGCCTCGGATACCTCGGATAGCCGGTCCCCGCCGGCGGGCCGCCCCGCCCCGCGCTGGGACCAGGGTCCGGTGCGGAGTGCCCTTTGTCCTGGGAAACGGGGCGCGGCCGGAAAGGCGGCCGCCCTCTCGCCCGTCACGCAACGCACGTTCGTGGGGAACCTGGCGCTAAACCATTCGTAGACGACTTGCTTCTGGGTCGGGGTTTCGTACGTAGCAGAGCAGCTCCCTCGCTGCGATCTATTGAAAGTCAGATCTCCACACAAGGGTTTGTAAAAAAATAATAATAATAATAAAAATAAAAAATAAAAAATAAAAAAACCATCAGATCCCCATGGCTGACAGATGCTTTAAAGGTAGTGACCCCATCCCTCCAGGCTCAGCTGCTTCCTCCACTTTCTCCTCCTCCAGGAAGCCTTCCCTGACCACAGCAGACCATGATGGTCTTTCCCTTCTCTCACTTCCACGCTCTGACCCCACAGTTGGGGTAAGCACCAGTTTATCCCAAAGCTAAGGAGCTCCGGGGCCTCTACGGAAAATAGAAAAGTTTCTTAACGTTACCCTAATAAGTTGTAACAAATGTAGTGGCTAAAAACAATATAAATTTATTATATGACAGTTCTTTTTTTTTTTTCTTGATATAGAGTCTCACTCTGTTACCCAAACTGGAGTGCAATGGCACGATCTCGGTTCACTGAAACCTCCGCCTCCCAGATTCAAGCAATTCTCCCACCTCAGCCTCCCGAGTAGCTGGGATTACAGACACCTGCCATCACACCTGGCTAATTTTTGTATTTTTGTAGAGACGGGGTTTCACCATGTTGGCCAGGCTGGTCTTGAACTCCTGACCTCAAGTGATCTGTCCGCCTTGGCCTCTCAAAGTGCTGGGATTACAGGTGTGAGCCATCGCGCCTGGCCAATATTACAGTTCTGAAAGTCAAAATGGTAACATGGTAATCTAGTAAGCTCAAAACGTTACTCGTGTTGGCTATGTTTTGTGTGTTACAAAGCATTGCCAGTATCTTTTTTTTTTAATCCTCAGATGGTCACTTCTTTATCCAGAGGGATGGCCTGTATAAAGGGATGGTCAGATCCCTGTATCTTTTTTGACTAAATTGCATTAATAGTTGACAATGTCCTTGCTTTCAATCATAACAAGATATACAGGTTCATTTTGTACCTTTTCAGACCAATATTTGGAATCAGCCATTTCCTTTTGGGGCTCTGGTTCTCTTTACTGGTCAATAGCATTTAGAGATCACAGTCTGGGTCCTGGGAGTAGCCATCTCTTCCTTAGTGCACCAATGTCTTGATTACTATCAATTAATAGTAAGTCTTAAAATTGGGTATGGCTTCTTCCAACTACTTTTTTGATTTTCGACATTGTTTTGGTCTTCTAATTCATTTTGTTTTCCATATATATTATAGAATTAGCATATCTATAACTATAAAAATCCTGGTGGGATTTTAAGTAGTATTGCATTAAATTTAAAGATCCATTTGGGGAAAAGTAACATCTTTACTATGTTGACATGAATTAGTTCTCATTTTATGTAGGTAGTCACTGATTCTGTTATCAGCATTTGTAATTTCCAACATACCAACCTTTACATGTCTTGTTAAATCTATATCAATGTATTTCACTTTAGGGGAGCTATTCTACATAGCAGTGGGGTGTGTGTGTGTTTTAATTTGAGTTTCTAATTATACACTGGTAAGATATAGAAATTTGGTAGATTTGGGGGTTAACCTTGTATTCTGAGACCTTGCTAAATTCACGCATTAATTCTAGAAGGTTTTTGGAGATTACTTAGGATTTTCAGGCTTCTCATTAACCTCAGGAGGCTGCTCCACAATGACATTGCTTGTCCTGACCTCTGAGCCAGACTTACTAGGCATTGCCTTTCCGGAAGATTGTTGGCTGTCATGGCAAAGAGAGACAAACGAGTAAGATGAAGCATGCAGGCCTCTAATATCTTACACCTGGAAGTGACCCACATGATTTCTGCTCACATTTAATTGGCCAAAACAAGACACATGACCACTTCTCAGTCAATAATTTTGTGAAGTGCTCTCTTACGTGTATGCCTGGAGAGAGACAGAAAACAACATATTTTCCAAGCACCCTAGTATGGTACAACAGAAGATGTTCAAATCTGTTAGGATTCCTTTCTGTAACATGGGCCAATCCTGGGAAATTAAAGGCCTTCGTGCTCTGGTTTTCTGTGAGGTGCAGAGAATATCTTAATATTGCATCTTTAATTGACTGAAATGGTAGAAGTGTGTGTTTTAAGGTAGTGGTTGTCAAACTTGCAGAGCTTTGTAAAAAAAAAAAATGAACTCCCCAGGTGACTACTGCTAGATCTTCAGACCTCTAAATCTGGGATAGGACTCAGGAATCTTTGTTTTAGAAAGCTCCTTAAGTGTTTTCATTATTAGAGCTGGGAACCACTCCATGAGGGATAGAAAGAGACCTGGGCCCCAGGTGGTAATGAAGTGAGCTGACCTGCTTGCCAGACCCCAGTGACTTCCTCTTCAGGAGAAGCCCTGTCTCTTCCTGTAGGTGACTCTCAGGCTGTCTCAGGGTCTCTCCCTGTTCCCCTCACTAACAGCAGCATTGGGGTAAACAGAAGAGGTGGATGTTTGCAGGATTCCAATGCCAGGAAACATTTTCTGCCGGATGTCTGTATCTCAATATTTCCCTCAGACACAAGCACATTGAAGTAAAGGGCATACAAAACCTCTTCAAAATTATGGTATGTTAAGGCAGAAAGAGACTAAAAGGTAGATTCATAACTATCTGCCTTCCTTTTTTTGCAGCTACCTTGATGCTGAACATCCCCTGAAGCAACAGGACTGCATGAGCTTGGTGTGGCTGAGCCCATGTCCTAATGAACATCCAGAAAAGAAAGACACTCAGAAAGCCAGGAAAATGGAAGAATTTTTTTTTTCAGCCAGCCAGGCACCTGACAGTAATCAAAATCTGTAAAGAACAGGATGTGGAGCCTCCTCTGCTTGTTCAGCACGAACATTTTGTGGTGGGTGCTGCAAAGATGACTCAGACACAGTCTCCACCCCAGGTCACTCATAGTCTAGTGCAGTACACCAAAGCTGTGAAAGCTAAAGGGCAGACCATTGGCCCATCCAGGGAGAGTGGTAGAAGAGGGAGCATTTATTTGAATAGCTGTGATGCTACCAGTCTGAAAAAAGGGGAAGGTATCTTGAGAATAAGAAGCAAGTTTTCAAAACACAGAGGCAGAATGGATAGAATGGGGTGAACACAGTAAGGTGCAGAGTGTGTGATGAGCGTACTTGTCAGGTCTCAGATGAAAGTGACCAAGACCTAGCTCCACTGTGATGAAGCCTGTAAAGAAAGACATACATGAACACACAAATAAGGCAATGCATTTTCTTACGCAGCTGAAAGGTACAAGAGAGGACCAGGTTATCAAAAATGTCTTCAGGTAATGGAATTTTCATATTTGGTTCTATTTTATTCTGTAATTTTCAGGTAGATGCTTCCCAAATAACACAAGATAAACACCGGCAGCTCCAAGCTATTCATCTATCAGCAGAGAAAACTGATGGAAGGAAGGACAACTTCCCTCAGTATTCTCAGCAAAGCCCCAGGAACAGATCTCATTGGCCATCAGGCCTGCCCTTTAAATACTCTCTAAGAGGTGTGACGCCCTGATTGGTCAGGCCTGGGTTAGGTGACTTCCCTGCATCCTGAGGTTGAAGTCAGCCCCATATGAAGGAGATGCATGGAGCTGCAGGGATGGAGGGTGACAAGGGAGAAGGTGAATCTACAAAAAAAAAAAAAAAAAAAAAATCAAGTGCTAATTTCAAAAGGGGGATTAATTGTGGTAAGAGAGAGAATAGAAACAAAACAAAAACAGCAAGTCACAGTTGCCTACTGCAAGCAGGCAGTCACTAAGTAGTTTTTTGCTATCTTGTGTTTATATGCAATGAAATTTTTCCCAATGTGAGGCATTGAGTCAGATAGAAATCTGCAGAAATGCGTGTTCTAGAGAGAAAAAGTAGGATGAATGCAGGGCAGGTAAATAGTTCTGCACAGTGCATGTGTGTTTGTTTTCATTTTGTTTTATTTTACTCTGCTTTGTTTTCTCTGTAATGAAAATAAAATGTTGAAGCATTCACAGAAACAATGATGCCTTCTTGGAGGAGAACACTAGCTGGCTCAGAAAACTGTTTCATTACCCACCCATTGTTTACAACATTGTAAGTGTAGAAGAGGTGCAGAAAATATAAGGGTGCCCTTAAAATACCATTTGAAAGATTTTGTAATGTTTATAAATGGTATACCAATGTTTCACTGCTGAGGACTCAACTCCACATTTTAAGAGAAAAAAAAGTGATAAATACTGGGTGTCTTGGCCCATTGGTTTGTTTATCTGTTTGTGGAAAGGCTGATATAACCACCCAACCTGTTCTTCCTGCCTGCTGCACAAACAAAATCAATTCACAGCACAGCATTGCAGCAAAGAAAATGTAATTGACATGAGGCCAGCCATGCCACATGGGAGAGAGTTATTACTTAAATCAATCTCATCAAAGGCTGGTAGACTGGGGGTTTTTCAAAGCTCATTTTGAGGCAGGAAAATAGGGTCTGGAGGCAGGGAGCATAAGGCTGATTCACACTTCAGCTATAACAGGAAATATCCTCTCCGTAGGGTGTATGCGGTAAATGACTTTGTAACTTTACTTCCTCCTCCCCATTTATATAGGGTGTACCCAAAGCAACCAATGGAACAAAGAATTGGACAAAACGCACAAACAAAGCAAGAAGGAATGAAGGGTTTTATTGAAAATGAAAGTACACTCCACAGTGTGGGAGTGGGCCTGAGCAGAGGGGCTCAAAGGCCCCATTGTAGAATTTTGGGGAGTTTAAATATCCCCAAGAACCTGAACAACCTCTGCCGTTAACATATTTTGGTGACCCGGGAAGGAGGAAGAGGTAAGCCCAAAATTTGGGATTTATTCTTCTCCTTTCTCCTTTTCTTTTCTGCTCCATACAGGGGAATCTCTTTCTCTCTCCTTTCCTTTCCAACCCGGGACCCTTGGTGGGCAGCGTCTAAACATGGAAGCAACTTCAAATTTCTGGCCATGGTCAGTGAAACTAAGGGGTTTCCATGTGGAGAAGCCTGACCCCCACCACCCGGTTCACTTAAGGAATGTGGATCTCTTTCATTTTTTTTCCACTTTCATTTTCAGTCTTTCAATGGCTGTCTCCTAGTACTTCCTTGGAAATTGAGGGCAATTGGCTGGGGTCACTCCCTGGTATTGCCTGAAGGCCTAAGAATGAATGGGAATAATTGGCCTGCCCCGAAGGGGGAAGGCTCTTTTTAATGTATTTTCGGTGTGTGGTCCCTGATCCCTATATGTGGCACAGCTCAGAGCAAACCCGCACATGTTTCAGGTGACTTAAACCTTCTTTTCCTATGCTAAATTCTTCCCTTCCCCTATTCAACTGGCTAAGGGTGAAGGAAACCCACCCAGCCTCCAGTTCCTATCATTAAAGTTCATGGAATGAGAAGCATGGAAAAGCGTCTCTAATTATAAGGCCTTATCAAATTATAAGGATGCTAAAATTTGGGGATTACACCCAGGTACCAAAGGAAAGCTCATAGTAGGCTCTGGAGGGAATGCTTGCAAAGTGGCACCAGTGCCCACCTAAGGCCAGAGACCTCTGGAGCGCTAAGATTAGACCCCACAAGTGGACACTCCTGGGGATCCTCCAGACCTCAAACTCTCCAAAGAGGATGCTCCTGGCAGAGGTTCTGAGATCTAGTAATAAGACCTCTTTGGAATTTTCTCTCACAGTTGCAATGCTGCTTGGCCCCAAAATTGCTTAGAATCTGAAGTTTGCTGTCGAATTGGAAAGTGGGATGGCATTGCATGTATTCAGGCTTTTGTGCTGCTGTTCTAAGCAGGGAGCCTGGTTAACGTGTGACGCCCTCCTTTGGTACTGTTTGGCCCCAGTGCTCCTTGGAGTCTGGGGAGGTTTAGCCTTTAAAAATCAAACTGCCATGGAGACTGATTTACCCAAAATTTTGGTTCTCAGCCTTCCTTGGATTATCTATTGGGGCAAAGTAAAACTGGCAAGCTTGTATTGCTATCTCACGGCCAAGGTTCCAAGCTATTGGATCTTCGTTTATGTGTGTGTATACATGTCTAGATGTGATTATTTGTATATACACTTATTGTTATATATTGTGTCTTCCAAATTGGTTATAAGTAAAAGAATGCTCATAAATTAAGTAAATAAGTCTGAGCAATTTTCAAGTTCACATGACTTAAGTATAACTTTATTAAACAAGCTGGCTTTACAATTATTGGTGGAATAAAAAGAGAAATGCCATCAGAATTGTCAGCATACATTTTGTCTGAATTTTATGTTTGTCTTTGCTAGATATTTAAAAATGTTAGTGTTAGTCCAAGCTGGGAGCTGCTAGGGGCGAGCCTGCCTCCCATTCTATTCAAAGTGTCACTGAGATAAATGCATATATGATTGCTTCCTTTGGAAAGGCTAATCAGAAAGTCAAAGGAATGCAACCATTTGTCTCCCACCCATGATCTGAAAGCCCCAAGCCCCCTCCTCTCCTTGAGTTGTCCCACCTTTCTGGGCCAAACCAACGTTCATTTGACATATGTTGATTGACATCTCCCTTGTTAAAAATAAAAAATTGAGTACAGTGAAGAGGATAATTATTTTAAGTAAACTTTTTGTGTAAATTAAAATCTTAAAGTTATTTTTAATGCTCATTTGATATCTGGGTCATTTCCAATTAAAAATGGGTAGTAATATGGAGAAGCATGTTGCTAAAATTGTGGAATTATTCCTGTCTATAAATGCCCATATCTAATAGTTCAGGGTTTGCTTTTTAGGGTTTCACTAAAGTTTTAGGTTACTAAATATAAAATTCTAGTTAGCACATAATTCTGTATACAAAATGTGCCAGAAAGGCTTATTGGTGGAAAAAAGAATAATTTTGTCTAATTCTGAAGTTGTATAAAAGTTAGTTCAAATTACAGATTTGAAAAGGTTATTTATGAATCAGTGTAGTAAGGAATCATTAAGTAGGGGAGAAAGGAGTGGAAAAAGTTTAAATAATAAAATATTCCTCAAAACATGATAAAGAATTGGAAACATTTGGCTAATTAACATTTTCATAGTTAAAACTCTTAGTGTTGATTAAGGTAAGAAGTATTGTAAAAATGCATCGGCAGTTTCGCAATTCTTTTTTTACTATAGTTAAGCATGAAGCTGAATTTAGCGTAAAACCAATGTTCACACACATGCTTGCATCACTTCACTCTGTTCACCATTTTCCGTGAATAGTGCTGGAGCACTTATTGGTCATCTGCCTGAAGTGGATTTCTTGATTGCACAGAATGTCTAATGATATTGGTGAACTTAAGGATATTGAATTGTATATCAGGAATAAAATGTTCATTATATGGGTTTTGGGGGGCCCTAGGTAACACTGTAGTTTCCAGGGTAAGTTGAGTATGAAAATTTAGGTTTGTTTTTTGGTTTATTTGTTTTCTCTTCTAGTTTTCATTGGTTTGCTGTTATTCTCCTTTGGTTTGCTTGTGTGTCTCTCTATATAATATAAACCCATGCTAGTGGAAGGCTTTTATTTGGTTCTGTGAATAGTTATTTTGTTTCCTATGCATTTCTAGCAAGTGGTCATTCATTCCATTTATCTGGAATTCCTAAAGCTACCTTTGTTGGGCTACAGGAATTAATGGAATACACCAGGTTTTTATCTTTAAACAAACTTTGGATTTTAGGTTTCCTGATACTTGAAGTGTGTTGAGTGTACTCTCACAAATAGAATTTGAGTCATATTTATCTCTCTCTCTGCCTAGTTTCTTCAAAATTTGTAAAGTGTTTGTGAATATTCTTGATTCATGGCAATGTGTTTGTTTGTATACAGTCAGGCAGGGTCACCAGGGGTGCTCAGGGAGAGAGAACCCAGAAACCCGGCATGCAGGCAGAAGGGTAAGAATTTCTTACATCAGTCTCTGGTCTCTTTCTCTCTGTGCAAACTGGTTAATCGCCACTGTTAAGTTTTAAATTAATTGTGTCACGCGAGTCCGTGTTAAGAGAGTCCACCAACAGGCTTTGTGTGAGCAACAAGGCTGTTTATTTCACTTGGGTGCAAGTGGGCTGAGTCTGAAAAGAGAGTCAGCAAAGGGAGATAGGAGAGGGGCCGCTTTATAGGACTGGGGTAAGCAGTGGAAAGTTACAGTTAGAGGTGGTTATCTGTTGTCAGCAGAGGAGGGGGTCACAAGGTGCATGGTGGGGAGATCATAAGACTCATTGTCCAGAAGAAGAATGTCATGAGGTCGATCAATCAGTTGGGACAGGGCAGGAACAAGTTATAATGGAATGTCATAAGGCTGGTCAATCAGTTAAGACAGGAGCTGGCTGTTTCACTTTTTTTGTAGTTTTGGGTTGCCTCAGACTTCTTGGCTCCTGCAGGCCATCTGGACATATATGTGCAGGTCACAGGGGTTACAATGGCTGAGCTTCAGCTCAGAGGCCTGACATTCCTGTCTTTTTACTTATAAAATATAAAGTTATAAGAAAAGATAAAGAAATATAAGTTTTACTGGGGATTATTAGGGTAGGGGTGATGTTTCTCGGGACTGCTTCAAGCATGACCAGGGACTGCATGGACACCTTAAAGAAAATTTTATAATGAGTTACAAGGCATAGGAATTTAGGTAGTGGGGAGATCTTGGGGCAGAGGATGGTACTGTGGGGTTGTTAAAAGTAGCATTTGTCTTATAGAATGATTGGTGATGGTCGGAATGCGGTTTTGTATAAATTGAGAAACCAAACTGAAGACACAAGGCCCAAATAACAGAAGGAAAAAAAACAGGTATTAAAGGACTAAGAATTGGGAGGACCCAGGACATCCAACTAAAGAGTGCCCAAAGGGGTTCAAAGTAATTATTTACTTGATTGGCGAGTTTTTGGGCTCTATCCTTGAGTTTTTTTTTATGTTGTCATATACCAGGCCAGATTGATTTAGGTAAAAACAACACTCTTCATTTAAAAATATACAGAGTCCTCCTTTTTCAGCAGTGAGTAAGTCGAGGCCTATTCCTGTCTTCTTATATTAATAATAAGAAAAACAAAACAAAATAGTAGTGAAGTGTTGGTGTCATGAGGGGAACAGGAAGCTGTTCGGTCCTGTTTGCGAATTGATTTTTGGGGGTAAGGAAAACTCGTGTACATGTGCCTGTGCAATTGATAGGTAGACACATGTAGGTGGAGAAGCCACAGAGGAAGAAGAGACTTTTCTAAGGCAAAACTGGAAATGTAAAGTGAAAAGATGAGAGGGAGCAGCAAAAGAGGTGTCTTGCACCCAGACTCTTAGGGATTTAGCAAGCGCAGCAGCCGTTAGAGGTTGTAATGGGGATTGATGAGGCAACTGGATAAAGGGGGAGATTTGATTTTTATGGTGTATGAGAAAGCGCACAGTGTCTGTAAGCAACCTTTCATTGCTATTCATGGGGCTGGGTATAAGTAAACAAGAAAGGGGGCTGGGAGGACAGTCTGAAGAACAAGAGGAAGGTAGCCAAGGATGGAGTGAAATGCAGGGCAAATGTCTTAAAGGAAATGAGAGGTTCTAAGTGGTGGACTAGTGGCTTGTAACCCACGTGGAAGAGGTTATGAAAGGATGATAGAATGGAATGAGCCTGTCAGGCTGGAAGGAGGAATTTTCAGTTGGAGAGTAAGTAGGAGTGACTGACGAGAAGGTGAAAAACTGGCCATGAGGGACAGAAGTAGGAATACTGGCTGCTTCTTTAGCCGTCTTATCAGCATAAGTGTTACCTTGAGCAGTGGGGTCTGAGGCCCTTTGATTGCCTTTGCAGTGAAGGACTCCAGCTTCCTTTGGAAGTAAAGCGGCCTTGAGAAGAGTTTTTATTAAAGAGGAATTAATGATAGAGGACCCTTGTGTAGTGAGAAAACCTCTTTCTGTCCACATAACAGCATGGTGGTGCAGGATATGGAAGGCATGTTGAGAGTCAGTATAAATATTGACACACAGTCCTTTTGCAAGAGTGAGGGCTCGAGTTAAGGCAATGAGTTCAGCTTGCTGAGAGGTAGTGGAGGGGGATAAAGTGGTAGCCTCAATGATAGATGTGGAAGATACTATAGCATAGCCTGCCTTTGCTGGTGAGTGGCAATTAGGCCTGGTGGAACTGCCATCAATAAACCAAGTGTGATCAGGGTGAGGAACAGGAAAGAAGGAAATACGGGGAAATGAAGTGAATGTCAGGTGGATCAGAGACATACAGTCATGGGGGTCAGGTGTGGTATCAAGAATAATGTGGGGGCCAGCCTAAAACAGTAAGGTCAAGTTGTTTGGACAGAAAGGCTACAGGGTGCAGTCCCAGCTCTTGTGTAAGAATTCTGACCACACAGCCCTGCACTTCAGCTGTGTGTAATAAAAAGGGTTGGGATAAGTTAGGGAGAGCTAGTGTGGGAGTAGTTCTAGTGCTGTTTTTAAGGAATGGACAGAGGAGTGGGGAAAGGATTTAGGATCCATGGGGTCAGCTAGGTTTTCTTTTGTGAGTTTATATAATGGTTTAGTCAGGATGGAAAAACCGGATATCCAAAGGCAAAAGTACCTAAATGTGCCTAGGAAGGAAAGGAGTTGTTGCTTTGTAGAAGGGGTTGGGGTTTGGGAGATTAGCCAGACATGATCAGCAGGGAGAGCACGTGTGTTTTTATGAAGAATTATGCTGAGATACGTAATGGATGAGGAAGAAATTTGGGCTTTGGAGGGGGATACGTGATATCCCTTTGTGAATAGATGTTGGAGGAGCAGGAGAGTGTCTTGTTGGGAAGATATGTAGGAGGGGCTATAAAGTAGAAGGTCGTGAAAATATCGAATAAGACGAGAAGCAGATGGGCAGAAAGAAAGTAAATCATGAGAAAGGGTTTGACTGAAGTAATGGGGGCTGCCCCTGAAGCCTTGTGGCAGTACAGCCCAGGTAAGTTGCTGAGACTGATGGGTGTCAGAGTCAGTCCAAGTGAAAGCGAAGAGAGCCTAGAATGAAGGGTGCAAAGGAACAGTAAAGGAAGCATGTTTGAGATCCATAACAGAATAATGGGTTGTGGAGGGAGGCATTGAGAATAGGAGAGTATATGTGTTTGGCACCACTGGGTGGATAGGCAAGGCAATTTGGTTGATAAGGCACAGATCCTGGACCAGCCTGTAAGACTTGTCTGGTTTTTGGACAAGTAGGATAGGAGAGTTGTAAGGAGAGTTTGTAGGCTTTAAGAGGCCATGTTGTAACAGGTGGGTGATAACAGGCTTTGACCTTTTTAAGCCTGCTGTGAGATGGCATATTGGCACTGAGCGGGGTAAGGGTGATTAGGTTTTAGTGGGATGATAAGGGGTGCATGATCGGTTGCCAAGGAGGGCGTAGAGGTATCCCATACTTGTGGATTAAGGTAGGGAGACATAAGAGGGGGATGTGAAGGAGGCTTTGAACTGGGGAAAAGGGTGGCAGTGAGGTTTGGCTGTAGCCCAGGAATAGTCAGGGAAGCGGATAATTTAGTTAAAATGTCTCGACCTAATAAGGGAACTGGGCAGGTGGGGATAACTAAAAAGGAGTGCAAAAAAGAATGTTGTCCAAGTTGGCACCAAAGTTGGGGAGTTTTAAGAGGTTTTGAAGCTTCACTGTCAATACCACAACAGTTATGGGGACAAGGGAAACAGGCCCTTGAAAAGAAGGTAATGTGGAGTGGGTAGCCTCCATATCGATTAAACAGGGGATGGACTTACCCTCCACTGTGAGAGTTTCCCGAGGCTCGGCGTCTGTGATGGTCCAGGGGGCTTCCAAGGTGATCGGGCAGTGTTAGTCTTCAGCCACTAAGCCGAGCAGATCTGGGAAGGAGTCGGTCAGAGAGCCTCGGGCCAGAGCTTTAGGGGCTCTAGGAGTGGCTGCCGGGCGAGCTGGGCAGTCGGATTTCCAGTGGGTCCCTGCACAGATGGGACAGGGCTTGGGGGGGAATCATGGGCAGTGGGCATTCCTTGGCCCAGTGGCCAGATTTCTGGCACTTGAAGCAAGATCCTGATGGAGGAGGTCCCGTAGAAATGCCTGACCACTGCGGCTTAGGCGTTTTGAAGTTCTTGGGTGCTGGAGGTCTGGCTGGGTTTTGTCTCAGAACAGAGGCAAGTAACTGTAACTCAGAAATGTGTTGTCACTTGGCTGCCTCCTCTCTATTATTGTACACCTTGAAGGCGAAGTTGATTAATTCCTGTTGTGGGGTTTGAGGGCCAGATTCCAGTTTTTGAAGCTTTTTTCTAATGTCAAGAGCTGACTGGGTGATAAAATACATACTGAGAATAAGACGGCCTTCTGGCCCTTCAGGGTCTAGGGCTGTAAAGAGCCTCAGGGTTGCTGCCAAACAAGCCAGGAACTGGGCTGGGTTTTCGTCTTTACCTTGGGTAGTTTATGTAAGTTTGTCATAATTAACAGCTTTGGAAGCTGCCTTTTTAAGCCCTTCAACTAGGCAAGAGACCATGTAATCTCGCCTAGCTATACCTAGGGAGCCTGTCTGGTATTCCCATCGGGGATCTTCTCGGGGAACTGCCCTGATGCCTTCCTGAAGGTCTGGCTCATGATGCCAGTGGGTGTCAGCGTGAGATTGGGCTAGGGTATAAACTCTATCCCGCTCATCTGGGGAAAGGGTACAAGTTAGGATGACATTTAAATCACTCCAGGTTAAATTGTAGGACTGGGTTAAATACTGGAATTCCTGTATATATTTAGTGGGGTCTGATGAGAAGGAGCCTAAGCATTGATTAATTTGGGAAAGGTCTCATAGAGAAAATAGTACATGCACTCTGATGATGCCCTCAGCTCCAGCCACCTCTCGAAGAGGAAATTTTTGGGCAGGTGGGGGAGTATTTGCCGCAGAACAAAATTGTAACCCAGACCCAGTGTGGGGAGGGGAGGTGACAGAAGGGTTGTAAGGTGGAGGAGCCGGGGCTGAGGAAGAATTGGGACTTGATTCAGCCTGCTGAGGAGTGGCCTGGGGAGGGGGAGAGAGGTCAGAGGGGTCTGCAGAAAGGGAGGATTCAGAAGACTCAGCAGAGCTTGGGGTTGGGACCAAAGGGACAGGCGGGAGGGAAAGAAGGAAGATTTGGGACAAGTCACATTGGGAACAAAGATTAGGGAGGGAATGAAGTGTAAAAAAATGCCTGAACATAGGGCACCTCAGACCATTTTCCCACTTTATGACAAAAATTATTTAGATCTTGTAGGATGGAGAAATCGAAAGTGCCATTCTCTGGCCATTTAGAGCCATTATCAAGTTTGTACTGGGGCCAAGTGGTGTTGCAGAAGAAAATAAGATGCTTATTAGGCTTTAGATCAGGTGAGAGTTGAAGAGGTTTCAAATTTTTAAGAACACAGGCTAAAGGGGAAGAAGGAGGAATGTAGGGTGGAAGGTTGCCCATAGTAAAAAGATAAGTTTAGAGAAAAGAGGGGTAGAGACATGGAGGGGGGGTGGTACTTGCCACCCAGAGGAGGTGGTACTTGCCACCAAGGTGGAGGATCAAGGCAGGCATCCTTGAGGTGATTGAACACCACTGGAATGTGGGTGAATAATCAGGCAGGTGTCCCTGCAGTGATTAGACCCAAGGGAAGACTGTCTTCATGAGTCAGTGACTGGCGCTGGAGTTTTGGGTTCATGGATAAAACACATCTCCTCTGTCTCTACCAGAAAAGGAAACAATCTGAAATTAAGGGAAGGGAGAGATTGAAGGGTGGCACCGAAATTGAAAGGAGAAAGAGGTTGAGGGATACTGAGAGAGGTTGGAGAGGAGAGTAAAAAGAGGCCGCTTACCCAATTTAAAATTAGTGAGGTGTTTCTTGGGCTGGTCTGAGGACCCGAGGTCATAGTTGGATCTTCTCACAGAGCAAAGAGCAGGGGGACAGGTGATTGATCTCCCAAGGGAGGTCCCCAGGTCCAAGTCATAGCACCAAATGTCACATGCGTCTGTGTGAAGAGAGTCCACCAACAGGCTTTGTGTGAGCAACAAGGCTGTTTATTTCACTTGGGTGCAAGTGGGCTGAGTCTGAAAAGAGAGTCAGCAAAGGGAGATGGGGTGGGGCAGTTTTATAGGACTAGGGTAAGCACTGGAAAGTTACAGTTAGAGGTGGTTATCTATTGTCAGCAGAGGAGAGGGTCACAAGGTACATGGTGGGGAGATCATAAGACTCATTGTCCAGAAGAAGAATGTCACAAGGTCGATCAATCAGTTGGGACAGGGCAGGAACAAGTTATAATGGAATATCATAAGGTTGGTCAATCAGTTAAGACAGGAGCTGGCTGTTTCACTTTTTTTTTTGTAGTTTTGGGTTGCTCCAGGCTTACTGGCTCCTGCAGGCCATCTGGACGTATATGTGCAGGTCACAGGGGTTACAATGGCTGAGCTTCAGCTCAGAGGCCTGACAAATTGGATTAATAATAAGAATGTAAATATTTTGTCAGAAAAGTAGAAAGTGTAATGCCTTTTAGTTCACATGAGTTTAGCGATCTTTGGGAAATAAAGACAGTTTTAAAGATCATTGGTAAAATTACAATTGTCTTCAAAATGTAAGCGTGTTCTAAATTATGTTCAAATATTAGATTTTCTAAATGCTTTAAGGTTATAAACTGCTTCTTTGGCTTTTGAAAATTGTTTAACTTGCCTGCCTTCCAGCCACGTAAGTCCTGGGGATATGTGGAGTTGACCACGACCTAGCTATGCTGGAAACAGTCAAACTTTATCAGAACATAACTTACCAGGTATTACATTAAAGTTAAAATTGCTAAGAGTTGACATTGTAACATGCAGTTAAGACTATTAGAAACAGTTTTACATGCAAAGTGTGTACAAATAATAGAATGTGTTTTTAATTTTTTTAAGGTTATAAAAAATTTTTGCTTCTTTAAAATTTCTGAGTCATCATTTTGGCAAAATAAATAATTTACGATAATCTGGAATTTCAGAACCAAACTTCAGTTTCAAAATTGTCTTTCCTAATGCCTGGCTTTCTGGATGGATCACAGGGCCCATGAAAACATCGAGAAAAGAGGTAAACAGGATTATTTGATGTGTTTAGGTACATGGGATTGCCAAAATGATGTTCAATATTCTTTAGGTTATATTGTTGTGAATGGTACTTATATATATTTTGAAATTATATGGGATTTCTAAAATTCTAATGTCTAATATATGCTACCAATCACAATTATAGTTATTATGTTAAGTTATTGTAAACCACAGAAACAACCGAATTTCCTTGTATAATTCTACTAACCCAAGTATGTGGGGAAAAGCAAGAGAGATCAGATTGTTACTGTGTCTGTGTAGAAAGAAGTAGACATAGGAGACTCCATTTTGTTCTGTACTAAGAAAAATTCTTCTGCCTTGAGATTCTGTTAATCTATAACCTTACCCCCAACCCCGTGCTCTCTGAAACATGTGCTATGTCAACTCAGAGTTGAATGGATTAAGGGCGGTGCAAGATGTGCTTTGTTAAACAGATGCTTGAAGGCAGCACGCTCCTTAAGAGTCATCACCACTCCCTAATCTCAAGTACCCAGGGACACAAAAACTGCGGAAGGCCGCAGGGACCTCTGCCTAGGAAAGCCAGGTATTGTCCAAGGTTTCTCCCCATGTGATAGTCTGAAATATGGCCTCGTGGGAAGGGAAAGACCTGACCATCCCCCAGCCCGACACCTGTAAAGGGTCTGTGCTGAGGAGGATTAGTATAAGAGGAAGGCATGCCTCTTGCAGTTGAGACAAGAGGAAGGCATCTGTCTCCTGCCCGTCCCTGGGCAATGGAATGTCTCGGTATAAAACCCGATTGTATGTTCCATCTACTGAGATAGGGAAAAACCGCCTTAGGGCTGGAGGTGGGACCTGCGGGCAGCAATACTGCTTTGTAAAGCATTGAGATGTTTATGTGTATGCATATCTAAAAGCACAGCACTTAATCCTTTACCTTGTCTATGATGCAAAGACCTTTGTTCACGTGTTTGTCTGCTGACCCTCTCCCCACGATTGTCTTGTGACCCTGACACATCCCCGTCTTCGAGAAACACCCACGAATGATCAATAAATACTAAGGGAACTCAGAGGCTGGCGGGATCCTCCATATGCTGAACGCTGGTTCCCCAGGTCCCCTTATTTCTTTCTCTATACTTTGTCTCTGTGTCTTTTTCTTTTCCAAGTCTCTCGTTCCATCTTACGAGAAACACCCACAGGTGTGGAGGGGCAACCCACCCCTTCACAAGTAAAACCAAAAATTATTAAATATCAAGAAAATACTGTTAAACCAGCTAATACCAGAATTGTTTAAAATAGTTTATAACCAATGCTTGACCCCATATTCCTGGGAAAACAATTAAAGCTTCAGGTGCATTTGGTCACCAGGTGGGCCATTAAACATTTTATAAAGATATTTCATTCAATTGTAATTTTCAGTGCATGTTTTCTGGTTGTCTAATAGATTTCTCCTGCAAGAGGGCTGGTGTTATAATGGTAGATTATTATGCTACAGTGTATTTTCACCAGGTGAAGAAAGCTTTCTATGGTTTGAATCTTCTGGAAACATCAGAGAAAGACTGTCCTTGCCATCCATACTATAACAAAACTTCAGGACTTTGGGCTTCGGGTTCATGGTTTCACAACTGAGAAGGGTTCATCCACCGTTTTGGAACTGTGCACCCATTGGAACCCTTGAGGTAAAGCTAACCAGGGAAATTTCTCCCAAGAAGAAGATGGCATCCTTGATGTGAACAGCTTTTCCCAAGTTCACAGATTAAGACTTCTACTGTCACAAAACTCTGATCTTTGAATGTTTTTTCTTGCTTATGCCTCTATGAACAATAGAAGTGGAAACGGGGTCTGTTATGTGCACTAATGGGGTGTACTTTTGTGAAGGAGTTTGCAGCCATCCTTATACATGGATAACCTTAAACTTTGATAGATAAATGATGAAGGCACAATGTAAATAAGAAACTTTAATGTTGCCTCATATGTACATATGTTGCCTCATAATCAGTCAAAACCAAAACATTGATTCACTCCTCTTAACCCACATCATGGGTTAAAAACAACATTAACAGAAGGCCTTCACTCTTCTAAAAGGACATCATTTTTTAGGTCCTTTTCCATGGTTTAAAGTAAAAGAAGCAATGATTAGAAATATATCCCTCATGGTAGGCTCTATAGAAAATTCTACTGTAAAGGCTACAGTTACACAACAAACTCTAAATTCTTAGGTGAAAGTTATGATAGAATTGGCTGAACAAAGAGTATGTGTGCAGCTGCTGGCACTTGTGGCCTATGGAGAAATACATCAAATGAAGATTATAGAAATTCAGTGGTAGGGGATTAACAAAGAGACTGCTTAGTTAAGTGAGTAAACTCTTTATCTAGTTCATTCTTTGATCCATTTGATTTTAGGAGGTTTAATTTATGGGTGTGGGATATGATGAGATTTCTCTTCAAATAACCCGATCAATCTTTTATTCTTTAATTCATAGTAACCCCCCTTTTACCTTTTTCTCCTTTTTTATTTCCTTTTTGCCTTTGTTAGATGCCCAGGCACACCACAGTAACAGGCATTATCAGTAGCAGCTCACATTCCTTTCCTTATTTGGAAAGACGACTAACTTCCTAGCTCATTACAGACACCCCTTCCCCTTTCCTCTCTGCTTTCTTTTATGTGCCCACCTTATCTAAAAAAAATCAAATATTTACCCAACCGGGATTAGTTTAGATTATACAAACCAACCCTAGCCAATGGGGAAAGGGTACAGGGGCAGGAATTGCATTAGGAATAAAGGCTCTCGTGCCCCTTTGTTCAGGTGTGTTCTCATGGCGACTGGCCAAGGGGGCACCCCTCTGCACAGAAGTAAAATTGCTTTGCTAAGAATCCTTTGTTTGAGTGTTCAATTTCCTTAGGATTTTGAGGGTTATTTCTAAAATGGGGACCTTGGATAAGGAACATACTCCAAACTCTTGCTATTACCCTCCTAATATTCATAACAATAGTCTCCAAGGCGCATTATATTCTCTCAAAGGTTGTGAATGTTTGCATGCAGCCATCTCTAGAATGTCATACGGTTTCTCTTCACCTGGAATAACAGGAGCTGAAAGAAGTGTGCAACCATGAGGACACCGTAACCTATAAATGACGTGCTGAGACCGGAAACCCAAAATGATGGTAATTGAGAGTGGTGCTAAGGCCCTAAGTATTGGTTACACTCTCACCTAAGTGAGAGCCTGACCAAAAAGAAGAGATATTTTTTAAACAAAATATGGGAGGCCATTGTTTTGGACTGAGCTCATGCACTAGGCCCCAACAAACCAAGCCAAACAAAATGGAGTCATTCGTGCTAAGGCTTTAAGGAAACACATAGATTCTAGAACAGACCAGGTTTTGTTTTTTCTCCTGCAAATCTCTGTAACAAACATTTCTGACTGTATAGGTATCCATCCCCTGAAGTTCCCATTAAATCTTTTCACCAAATTCATTCCCTCTCGCCTAGAGACCATCAAGCTTCAGATGATCATGCAACAAAGGCTCTAGGCAGTTCCAGTTGAAGACACCACCCCTGGCCATCAAGAAGCTACCCTGCCTCCACTAGACAGAGCAGAGCAAGTGTTCCATGGTCCCCAATAGGTAGGGACTACACCCCAAGTCAGCATGAAGCAGTTACAGAAAAAAGACCATAGGTGCCTCTGCCTCCCATAAAGATTTGTGGGGATCACAACTCTCAGGGGGAAATGAGGCAGGAAAATAGGGTCTGGAGGCAGGGAACATAAGGCTGATTCACACTTCAGCTATAACGGAAATGCCCTCTCCATAGCATATATACAGTAAATGTCTTTGTTACTTTACTTCATCCTCTCCATTTACATAGGGAGTACCCAAAATAATCAGTGGAATCCTCTAGGGGGTATTTAAGCTCCCCAAAATTCTGTAATGGGGCCTTTGAGCCCCTATTCTCAGGCTGCTCCCACACTGTGTAGTGTACTTTCATTTTCAAGAAAACCCTTCGTTCCTTCCTTGCTTTGTTTTGGTGTTTTGTCCAATTCTTTGTTCAAGATGCCAAGAACCTCACAGCCTCCACCACTAACAGTTTGGGGAAGGGGTAGGAGTGGCTAGGCAGTGGGTGCTTACTGCTGATTGATTGGGAGTGTAATCACCCTATAATTGCACCCCCAAGCAATCAGCAGCAGGGACTCATTGATCCCCCTGTGGCTGAATCACTTCTAGGTGGGGCTACAGGAGTGGTTGGTGGGTCCAGGTGGAGCCATCATCAGTGTCAGACATGCAAAAAAATCTGCAAAGATATCTCAAAATGCCAATCTTAGCTTCTACGGTAGGGATGTTATCTGTAGGAGTAATTGGGGAAGTTGCATATCTTGTGCCCTCTGGAATAATGGCTGGCAATCATTTATGTCTACACTTAGCAGAATTCAGTTCCCGCTATTCTCCTAGACTGGTGGTTTCTCATTAGTTTTCCAAAGGCAGTTGAATTTTAGGGAAAGGCTATTATCATTTAAACTATAAACTAAATGTCTACCAAAGCTAGCCCAGCCTAAACCCAGGAATAATTAAGGCAGCTTGAAGGCCAAAAGCAAGAGGGAGTTTGGATGATCAGATCTGCCCCACTGTTTAAATTTTCTCTCTGTTATAATTATTGCAAAGGCAGTTTCACTGATTTTTAGAGCATTGATGGTAAAATTATCATCAATCAGAGGATCAATTCTCAATGAGTCGGCCCTGGACCTGGTGCTTTTGTCAAACTCCAGGAACTGATTTCAGGTTTATTTAGTGGAGTAAAGGTCCAAAGTTTAACCTGGTAAGTCATTATTTTAAGATATATTGGAAGGTTCTTTGGCTGCATCTCCCCCTTCTTTCCCTGGATAGGAAGGGGATACAGAAGATCTGGCTCCTATTTAGTTGTGTCTTTGGTATTAGAAACCTCAGAGAAAGCAGACTGACTGCCTGCTGATGTGAGCTGTCTGGTGCCACATTTTACATAAAGCTAGTTAATACATTCATTATGGTGAAATAGGATACTGACAGGTCACTTTTTCATTAAACAACCTTGCACTCACTTTATTCTAGTGAATATTGTTTGTAAAAGTCTACATATTAGTTTTATCAGAAGTTCAACTCCTCCATCCTGGCCAGTCTTCAATAGCCTACAACGTCTCTGTTTAGTCCAAGTGAATACAGTTTCCACTGCCCAGTTCTTTCCCCTGAACTAATAAAAATACCTAGCATGGTGGAAAACTCAGTTGCATAAAAACATCTTCTGGAGAGCTTTATCCATCACTATCTGCTATTATTTGATAAATTATCTTTGGGGATAAATGGCTCTATTAAATATATCATCTATTGGTAACATTGAAGACTATTAAATGTAAAAACTACTCACACTTTATTGTAGTAGGTTTCTCAATCAACAGTTACTTAAATTATGTAATCAATTTGATGACATAAAACATTACATAAAAAACAAAAACAATATATTCATTATAGCCATATTGATAGCAACAAGAGGGAACCAAATGCCTACACAGATGGGGTGGATCCCTGGTGAAACCCCACCCTCAGGCCAACAACAGCATGAAGGCTAAAGGACCAGATTTGGATGAAACCTGTAACCCAGAGTGAGAACTTCTGTTCCTATTTGCCCACCCTTGCCCAATTGATTCTTTCTGATTAATGCCTTTTAACCCATTGAATGTTGCCTCTTCCAATACTACCTATGGCCTGCCCCTTCCCCTTTCTGAGTCCATAAAAAACCCTGGATTCAGCCATATTGGGTAGACTTTCCCACCTTCGGGTAGGGGCACCACCCCTGCATTCCCTCTCCACTGAAAGCTCTTTTATCACTCAATAAAACTCCCCGCCTTGTTCACTCTTTGATTGTCAGTGCATCCTCATTCATCTTGGGCGTGGGACAAGAACTCAGTTACTGTTGCACAAGCCACACTCAGCGGGGCAGGCTGAGTGGGTGGGCTGTCTCCTACAGCAGGTAGCTTGATCAAGTGAGGCCTGGGGGCGGATCATGGCCAGCCAGAGGTCCTTGGCTTGCTAAATGACTGAGAAGAAAATCCTGTATCAATATGCATATGTCCACCCTCATCAAATTGTACACTTTATTTTAAATATTTGCATTTTTAATGTCAATTGTACTTCAACAAAGCTTTAAATGAAGATTAAAAAACTTAAAGGATACTAGGAGCATAGTGTAGTAAATGTGGATACATTTCTCCTTAATCGTGCCTCTCCTCTCTCCAGATTGCCAGGAGCATGCTGGGGTCTGAGTGGATTGCTGAAGTTGACCTACATGGCTTATTATATAACTCCCAAGACAGTGGCAGCCAGGGATATTTCTGTGGTGACCTCCAGACCACAGAGGGCTTGTAGATTGCCTTGGAGTTGTGTTTCAGGCTTCTCTTAGAGAAGCTATATGAGAGATTGTAGCAGCTGAAACCGTAAGACAAGGTTTTCATTATTACAGATTTTCTTTGGAGATAATGACGTAGGCAATAATTCTTGTATTTGAATAGATCCCTTTCTGAGGCACATTTTTTCACTCATTAAAAAAAGGTACAATCTTAAAAGACAGTACAAAAATCTACACCTGTGACAAAATCTTACAGAATGACACATAGACGTCTACACATGTGAAAGTAAACCTGATGAAATCTGCATAAGTTAGAGAAATAGTATCAATGACAATTTCTGGTTGTGTTATTAATTGTAGTATAGTTAGGAAAGATATTATCACTGGAGAAAGTAGGATGAAAAGGTAGATGGGATCTTTCTGTATTATTTCTCACAACTGCGCATTAACTTACAATTGTATCCAAAAGTTTATTTTTCTGTTTTTTTTTTTTTTTTTTTTCTTTAGATGGAGTCTTGCTCTGTCACCCAGGCTGGAGTGTAGTGGTACGATCTTGGCTCACTGCAACCTCTGCCGCATGGGTTCAAGTGATTCTCCTGCCTCAGCCTCCTGAGTAGCTGGGATTACAGGTGCATGCCACCACGCCTGGCTAATTTTTGTGTTTTTAGAGAGACGGGGTTTCACCATGTTGGTCAGGCTGGTCTAGAACTGCTGACCTTGTGATCTGCCCACCTCGACCTCCCAAAGTGCTGGGATTACAGGCGTGAGCTACCGCTCCCGGCCTTTGGTTTGTTTTTTGAAGAATATACAGTGACCTTGAGTCATCCCTAAAAGATGACAGCCTTAATCAGAAGCCATCAGGAACAGCAAGAGAAGAGACCTGAGAAAAATGAAAAGAAGTCAACTCTACACATTACAGTCAAATTTACTTTGTAGCAAAGGACTCAACGAAAAGAAATCTAAGCACGCAGACCTAGATAAATTGACGGCTGTATTATGGACAAGATGAAATCACTAGACTCAAAAAGCAAAGTCTTTCTAGTCATCGGTGGCTTTTCCAATTAGAACAGGCAGCAAGCGGCACTCCTTCCATGGCCCCTTCATCAGAGGAGCTTTCCTTCACTTTTTACCTGGACATCAAGGCTCTGTTTCTCCACCTCTAACTTCAGTTCAGCTGCCTGGGTTGCTGGAGGATCAATCGTGTTCCAGCCTGAGCATCCCTGCTGTCAGGGGTGTTTCTGATCTATGACATCTTTCAGTCAAAACAAGCAATGTCTATCCACCAAACGGGCAGTCTTTGGAGGATTCACTATGTTCCAGGCATTCTAAGAAGCACTTTACACTCACTTCCCAATTTAACCATTGCACCAATCTTATGAGGTACTTACAAGTTACAGCTCAGGATGGTGAGGCCCAGACTGGTTACATAGCACACTGGATGACACAGGTCACAGGGCAGTGCTGGCGCCGGAGCCCAGGCCTGTCTGTTTTCAGAGCAGGCGCTCATCACCACTGCACCCTGCTGCCTTGTCCTGATGCCAGCCAGTCAGTACCAAACCCTGATTCAGTTTTACTGAGTCCTGAGCAAAGACAATCCACAAAGCTCATGACAGCTCCATCCCAGGGGCACATGAAATCCATTGGTTTAAAAAGCTATGGTGAGCTTTTTTTTTCCTGTAACACCCCCGCCCCTGCCCCACCTCAACCAGAACACTGCAGAATGTGTATTTCCCCAGGCCAGACTCTGTCTAGAACACGTGCTGTCCTCCACCAGGCAGTGCTGACTTCAGAGAATTTTCCTATTCCTCTCACCTGGGCTCATCCCTGTGTGCCCTGATCTGCCTGTCCATGTGCAGCTGCAGCACATGCTTGATGCCTGTCTAACCAGAGCATTCTCAGTCATTACAGTGACTCAGTGTCACTGTGGGTGGAATGAGATGACAGACATCCTGCAGGTCACAGAAGCACCATCAGGTAAAATAAAAGCAACTTCTGCTCTTCCTCCTCCAGTAGCTCACATTTGACTCCCAAATCCTTTTCAAATTGAGAAATATATGGGTGTTTTATTTCATTTTCAAGGTTTTTGTCATGATTAGAAATCTCCTACCTAATAGTTACTCAAGTTTAAGAAAAGCAAAATACAAAACTGCCCCCAAATCTCTGCTGCTGTTAATGATCTTCCCTTAGAGTATGGTGCTCAGAAAAGCAACGGCTAATAATCAGACCAGCTCCTATCCTGTCTTCAGGAACCATCTACATAGTTTCCATTTTGTGAGAAGCACCAAAAACCCATCTGTAATTCTGCTATGGGCTGCCTGGCGCTGATTCTTAATTTTGCAACCCATCAGCTCGGCACAAGAGACAGCGTCCTACAGTTCACCTGCTGCCACTTGCGCAGGGAATAAAAATAATAACAGGTCTTCCAGACTCCAGTGTCCAACCCGACACATTTTTAACACCCCTTGCAGGGAATCCATCTCTCTTTCCACTCTCTTTCTGTCCCTCCATCAGTTCAAACTTTTGCACATGTGTTGGCATATTTCATGCTTCTGTTAAACCAGAATATAGTTTTTCTTGTCCAGAGATTTAGAAACAAAGTAATTTGAGCTGCTAGAAGATAAGGTTATGACTTCTGTTAGAGTTTATCCATTCTGAGGTTCATTTTTACACTTCTGTGAAAGTGTTTCGATTGATCTCCAGAGCAAAGACACAGCAGTTCCTAATTTGAATGTTTCAGAACCGATTGAGAGCCCTGATTCAGCCACTGGGATAAAGGACAAGCTGTCAGAACTTGTTTTGCTTTATTACAGGAGAAGGCTAACGTAGGTGGGTGTGGAGGTTGCAAGGCAAGGATTACACTTTCTGAAACTGCAGCCTTCCGGGAGGGGGTGTGAAAGCAATCACAACAATGAACATGAAAATTTTAATGGTGTTGTTTGATTGAGACTTTGAAAGGTGAGACTGAAACACAGCACAATGAGTTCATAAGTTGCCTTTTTTTTCATTATTTCTTTTTTCCTTCAACAGGTTTTCTTTTCTGCAGCAAAGTGACTGAAGTAAAGTGGATGTTAGGAGATGTCAAAATATTAGAAGAGCGGGAAGTAAAGTAATAAAGAGGAACAGTTGTTCAAACATTATAAGCAGGATTTTTCATGAAAGAAAAGAAAGAGGATAGATGAATTGATTTGTATATTCATTGATTATTATAGTACAGTAGGTATCCATGGGTTTCTCTGATGGCCAAGAATATAAAACTAGGCCAAATATCATGGTTTCTTCTACTTAAAGCCAGAAAACACCTTTGGCAGAAACAAAATTCGAAGGTGGAAAGTCACTGTTGAATTGAGATATAATTACCTTGGATGTCCAACAACTTGTGGCAATATCATCTAGTAAATCCAAGTCAACACCAATCTGTTGACTCAGAAGTCCACCTTCTAGGTGTACCCCCAAGATAAATTTGTTCTTCAAAAAAAATGTGATTTCTTCATAAAAGGCACATCTGGAAACAGCAAAAATGCCCACAAATAAGAAAACAAATGAACACATCACAGAGTGTTCACACTATTGAATATTGCAATAAAGCAAAAACTGAATATAGCAATAGAAATGAAGTATTTCTACAAAGAGCAGTATGCATAAATCTCCCAAACATTAAAAAAAGAGCAGGAGAAGCCAAACACAAAATAATCTATAGTGAATTATTCCCTCCAGATGAATTCCAAAAATACCTAAAATTATTGGAGATTAATTATCCTCACCCCTTCTCTGAAGGGAGAGGTAGAAGTTGGGAATTCGTGGGGAAGGCATGGGGAAACATTCTGATATTCTGTTCACATTCTATATTCTGAATAATTAAGTATTCTGGAAGGGGTTACATAGGTGCACAGCATTATACAAATCTTCGTCTAGGTATAGTCTCAAGATTTGGGCATGTTAATATATGAATGTTACACTTCAGTTAAAACAGTTCAGTTTCTTTTGAATTCCCCTCAAATAACAATATTAATGATAATAGTTAGCAATTACTGAAACTTTATTATGATAAGAGTTTTGCATAAATCTCATCACTTTCTCCCTAGAATGAAGTCTATTGCATAGAAATTTTTAATTCCCAATTCACAGATTTAAAAAACTAAGGTTTAGAGAGGCTGACCATTTAACCAAGGTTCCACAGCAGGTTAAGTAGCAAAGCCAGGACTGGAACCTAGTTTGCAGTGGAGCTGATCTAAAGGGAAGCAACTGGAAGCAAAGAAGATGCAGCTGGTTGGTGTTACTCTACCTTCCTCCAGAAATGATGCAAATGTGTAAATGTGTTTTCAGGAAGGCAGCATGTTTTGTGTTCGTGTGTGTGTGTGTGTGTGTGTGTGTGTGCCTGCCTGTGTGTAAGTCTTCTATTGCCAACACTTTCTGCCTTGACTGTAGTAAAAAAAATGAAAACACATGTTCAATTCGACAAAGTCTATTTTGTGATACATCTCCTTTTTCTTGGAGCTGAGAACACAGGTAAGCCATGTGACCAATACGTTCCCAGCAAGTTTTCCATGCAGAGATGAGTGATGGCCAGGACCAGGAGACACACACACTGACCATGACCTTGACTGACTACCAGACCTCAATCTAAGCAGGATAAGTCTTGATCACCCAAGAGTTTGACAAATGCAGCTCTTTAAGCACATCTGCCCCACAGGTTAGGTAAATGGGGATTATGTGGAGATGAATTATAGCAAGATGATTTTCAAATACTCAGATAAACATAAGTTAGACAAACGTATGTTTCACTCCAAAAGTCAGTGATATATTGGATTCTTAGGACATGTTTAAATTATTAAATTGCCTTTATTGGTTCTCATCCCCATGGTAGTATTTCAACTCCCAGAAAGTTTTGGAAGTCCTTGGGGAAGTTTGTGATTTTTACACTAACCCAAGAGCACTTTTGGCACTTCATGAATAGGGATAGGGGATTTTGAATACACTAAAGTGAATGAACAGTCCCAGACAGTAGAGTCATGTCAGCCCAAATATCTATAATGCCTCCTCAGAGGATCTCTGCAACAGAGGCAATGAGGTACTCTGTTCTATTTGGAAATTCCTTACTCCTACAGGTGAAACCACTTAACCATCTCCTTATAACGGTGCAATTGCATCCATCTATACATAGATCATATATATATATATATATATATATTTTTTTTTTCACTATATGAGTGTTTCCAGTCTTCCTCCTACCCCTAACTCAACATTCCTGCATGTCTTGCCAAGTTTCCAATGTTTCTAACATTCCTGAGTGTTCCTGCCTCAACAGATGTTCTTCTTTGTACTTTCTCAGAAGAGAATCAGGAGGAGAGAAGCTAAAATGGTAATGACAAGAGGCATATTTGCAGAAGATAATTTTTCAAAAAGTTGGGAGCAGAACTGGAACAGCTGTGGAAGAAGGGTCAAAGCTAATCCCCTCTTCCAAAGAGCAAGCATATCAAGTCTTTTTCAGGAACCATGAGTATTAGCAGATGCATGAAGAGAACTGATCCCGAGTTATGCATGTAGCCAATCCAACCAACTTTTTCAAACCTTTTGTTAGGGTAGATTCCTTAACATGCTGATCAGAGAGGGCGCCCGTCCTATCTAGGGAGACATGGTACAAAGAAGCTTCTCGAAGCACATAGTCATCAATTGGTCTTACACATATTTGCAGGAGAACACAGGTGCTATCTCACATTTTTAGCTCTATGAATGAGTAAAGCAACAAGTGATTTATGTGTCCTGTCAAACAAGAATCCCCCCCAAAATGCATAATCTTCTGGTATCTCCTATAATTCTAGGCATATATTTTATGTATGATACTGGTGATATTCCCTCTTTTGATTCTTTTATCTCTTTATAGCATTGGTTACCATAGAGACAAAGATAACACTGCCCTGGGCAATGCTTATGGAAATTTATCAGTAAAAGTGAACATCAATTTATTAGGTAGTGACTTTTCCTGTTCACACAATTAACTCTCAGAAGGTAGCCTGTTTATGAAACATAGATAAATAAGCTACATGGGTGAAGTTACTGTTCACATGCTCAAGCATTCAGATGGCTAGACAATTAAAAGTAAATGACCTGTGCTATTATTCAATATTGACTCTTCTAAAAATTCAGTATCTAGGTTGCTGTATTTCTAGATCCCAATTACTCAGCAGCTAAATGTTTAAATTGCTTCATACCTCAGCTTTCAATAACTATGAAATATTTTCAGCCTCTTATGTTTGAAACAGGCTATGAATTCTTGTTTTTGTTGCTACGGTGATCTATAGCTTCACCATTGTAATAACCACATCAAATGCAGGCATTAAGTAGCAATGTAATACCTCTATATAATTTAACACCAACTATTTATAACAACCTGTGATATAATTGAAACTATTTCATAAGGAAATTTAAAGTAAATAGAAATAAATTACCCAAGACTGAAACATAAATATCTGAGGGATGAGCATGAACACAACATGAAAAAAAACTGATGATAAAAAAATCCATTTCTAATAGTTGGTGCAAATCTATGGTTAGTTGTAACCAGACCAGTTTGTTTTCTATCTTGCAAATGGAAAAAAATAAACACATACAAATTATTAGGGCAGGAGGCATCAGGGCCTTTTTCTACAGGCTTCAGTGATGCACTTATAGTCATTAACTCTTGGAGCATAGGTTACTAGTCTTTGGCAATACTGAAGACTGAAGTTGTATGGTAGATTCCTTAATGTGCTGATGAGAGGGAGACTCTTCTCATCCAAGGAGACGTGGTACAAAGGAGATCCAAAGGGTTAAACTAGAAATGAGGTCGTTTCATATTTCCTTCCCGCTGTATGTTTTCCTCCTGCTTGATGAAGAGACTTGCCTGTCTCTTCACAGCCAACTCCCAAGTGAAGATGAGTTGGAAACTGGTCAGATACGGGGTCCTGAAACATGGACCACAGAGTGGGAGAGCCAGGTTAGGAGAGAAAGAAGGTGAAGCAAGATGCTGAGAAGAAAAAGAATAAAATAATCTCCTGGAAAACAAACATACAAATCCCTTTCTCATTCCCAAGAGAACATTAATTTGATTTAAGATTTCTTCTCTTTTTCCTTGTACTTCAGAAAAGCTGACCTAATTGCCAGCTCCAAGATGCATAAACCCAGGATCCTGTTGATGACAATGTTTGATCCAAGGGTAAACACATGTCCTGAGTTGCCTCAATCAGACTAAAGGAAGGGACCTTACAGTTTTTGATTAGGGAAATGATTATTTCTCTGTCTTTTTGACTCTCTGTGATGATGTGAGCACATAGATCAAATGAAACTTCTAGTGCAGGGCTCCCCAACCCTGGTCTGTGGCCTATTAGGAACCGGGCCACACACAGCAGGAGGTAAGCAGCAGGTGAGCCAGTGAAGCTTTATCTGTATTTACAGCCACTCCCCATCACTTGCATTACCATCTGAGTTCCACCTCCTGTCAGAGCAGTGTAGGCACAAACCTGAATGTTAACTGCATATGTGAGGGATCTAGGTTGAACGCTCCTTATGAGAACTTCATGCATGATGATCTATCACGGTATCCCATCTCTCCCAAATGGGACCATCTAGGTGCAGGAAAACAAGACCAGGGCTCCCACTGATTCTATATGACGGTGAGTGGTATACTTATTTCATTATTTATTACAATATAATAATAATAGAAATAAAGTGCGCAATAAATGTAATTTACTTGAATCATCCTGAACCCATCCCCCCAACCTGCCCCAGTCTATGGAAAAATTATCTTCCATGAAACCAGTCCCTGGTGCCAAATGGTTGGGGACTGCTGTTCTAGTGGACAGCTGAACAGAGAGATGAAAAGAGCCCTATGTATTAAGGATTTGGTTGAACAGCTGAAGTGACTGAAGTTGGAGGATTTCCTTCTTTCGGCTTTGCAATGTGAGCTACTGATTTTCATGTTATTTTAAATAGGTGCGAGGCAGCCTTCTCAAGATCTGTAGCTGGAAGCAGCGTCTTGTCTGCTACAAGACTAGAGCAGTTGAGTCAAATATCCATGTTCCCTTGATTCAAGGAGCTTTCAGTTTTAGGGAAAATATGACATCTTCATGGTCTGGCTTTGAGCCTGAGGAGCACTAAGAAGTCACTCTAAGGAAGGTGCTGTTCTGGAAGGGAAGCAGGACCTTAAAACACTTCAGTGCACTCCATAAAATGGTTGGGGCAAGTCAGACATGCGGAGTTGACTTGGAGGCCCTCTCTGGAGGACAATAAATGTGTTTCCTACTTTATTATGCCCCTAAAAGAAAGACACGTAGTGGCGATGTCAGTCAGTGTGCTTTTTGTGGTTTCCAGTAAACAGCTGGAATAATTGGTGAAATCTTAAGGCTAGTACTAATAAAGAACATTATTGCCACCCACAGGCCTGAAAGATAAGACAAAGAGGTTCCTACAACCTGGAGACCGAGAAGGCTGCCAGGCAGGAGCTGTGATTGCAGCTGAAAGATGCAGCCGGTCTTTAGCAACTCCACATGGAGGAAGCCAGGAAAATAAATACTCCAATCAATCACAATTTCTTTTTCTGCTATGTCTTGCCCATGCTCTGAATTTTTCAAAATCGACTGGAAGCTAGAAAGCAAAGGAGAACTTTGGTGAGTCTACTCTGAATATGGGACACAGAGCAATGGGGAGAAAGGTTATCAGGAGACACCCAGTTCAGGCACCTACCTCTTCCACAATAACAACTTCTGTTTCACTCAGCATTACTTTGTGCCCAGCTGAGAAAGGACTGCATTCTCCATTCTCTTACATTTGCGTGACTGTGATGTGGAACTGGAACTAACAAAAAGGAAGAACATCAGAGGAGGTGCAAGAAGCAAGAGAGGGAAAGCACCGTGGTGGAACAGTGGCTGATAGTTTTCTGGTAGAGTGCTAGAAAAACATTTAATAATGAGCATGTTCCATATCCAGTGATTTTATTTATTTTTTTATTTTGATAGTTAAGTATTTAAGTGTTCCCTTTGTGCCAGGGAATGTATTATGGACCAGAGAGTAATGAAATAAAGATGCCATTTCACTTCCTGCACTCATGGAATATGTTAATGTGGAGAAAGGGAAGACAAACGATATCCATATATCTATATTTATATATCCTTCTGATAAAGATGATGCCAGTATGAAGTAAAGCAAAGCAGAATGAAATGCATGAAAATTGCCAATCTGTAAGTGACAGATCTGTAAATAGTCAGAAAGAGCCTCTTTTGAGGACAAATTGTTGGCAGGTAGCTGGAGAAGAGCAGAAATAGCAGCTTTCCTGGGGCTAGAGTTCCTTCTTGGAATGCTATCCACACACACAAATTTTTTTCCCCTTCTTTATGTGGATCAAATACAAATACAAAAAAAAATGTAATACATCTTTAGGCTTGAGAAATACAAGTTCTCTTAGAGAAGTTTAGGTCCACACTCACAACATCCATAGAAATAAAATCCACATGTTTTAGTGCAAAGGGCTGGCTACTGGGAAAAGACTTGGCTGCCCTATCAGGAGAGCCTGTGGAATTTACCAAAGAGCCCTGTTGCTTATCCTGTGGTTTCTTGTATTCACCAAAGCAATGTATCACCAGATGACAGAAGTAAAACTCTTCTCTTCTTTTTTCTCTGTGGTTCACTTAATGGAGATAAAGCCTCCCAGTAGAGCAGCCAGTGAAGTGTACTCTTTCCTAATAACCTGATGAAAGATGCGTGGAAAGATGGAACAGAATTGGACCAATCCCTCATCCTGGAGCAAAGTCTAGCTGATTTCAGCAGGATTCACAGATTATGGACAAGAAAAATAAGTACTTGAATTATAAGCAACTGAGATTCGGGTAGTGTTATGTAGCATTATGACAACAATGGCTGCCTTATAGAATACATCACCATTGCAAGCCAGTTTATTGCTGCATTAATTCACAAAACAGGGGCAATATTAAATACACTTAATATTAAATACAAATAATATTAAATGCATATTTATTAGAAATTTTTCAGGATTAAAAAAGGTACAAAGGTGTGTTTATAATAGTGCCTGGCATAGTAAGAGTTTTCTAATTGTGGTAATGTTCTTGTTGTTAACATAACTTATTTAACCAACACACATTTTTTTTCCTGCCAATTGTAAGGTCTTGGCAATTTTTTCATCAGAAGAAGTGAATATTCAGAATATCAAACTTGTTCAGGCCTTTGTAAATCAGTCTGCTTAAGGATTATTTACATTATCATAGTCAATATTTGGGTATCTGAATCCAAATTGTGCTACCAATGTTTTACATACAATTTAATACAAAACTTTAGAGAAGTTAAATTTAACCAATTTTATGTGACCAAAGAACAATTCATATATAAGGCAGCACTCCAAACCAGAAGAGGTTTAGACAGCTCTGCTCAGCAGTCATAAGCAGCAAATTTGTACAGGCTGAACAATTAAGCAAAGTAGAAAAGTTACCTGATTGGCCTCGCCTAGGTGGCTGCCTTATTTGAGCATCATGTGATGAGGCATTTGCCTTATTTGGGCATAGTCTTGTTAGCTGGAAGCCTGTGATTGGCTGAAATCTGGCTATCTGCTACAAAAAATTTACTCCTAAATTAGGTTTGGGTTTATGTACTAAATTAGGCTGCAATTTATTATGTAGGAACTCAAAGTAAAGAGACAACCTCAGGTTGTCTTCCTGCTTACTTAACAGTGCTGATGGGTGTGAAAGAAAATAGACTCTCAAGACCCCAAACTCACCATGCCAAAGGGAAAGTGAAGCTGGGAAACTAAGTCATGCAATACTGCCTTCCTTTTGTTCCCAAAGAGCTGTAATTTCACAATCCTGTGTCGTAGATTCATCCATAAGCCAGATTCCCACAACAAAAGAAAGCCACAGATCTCCTCAGATGGCCTCCCTCACACATTGCTCCCAAGGAAATTCCTTGCCAGTCGCTGAATCTTCAGGATACACAGCTCCTCTGTAAGTTAGTCCTAAAACTGAGTTCTGCTGAATCTCACCCTGACAATGTCAGTTACCAGCTTATCTTCACAGGGCAAGGACAAGATTAAAAATCCACGTGGGCCTATCCTGAGAGGAATGCATTATTGACTATTTCCTTTACTCCCTCTTTTCACATGTAAAATGCAGATTTACTAGGGTAAACAGAGTTTCACAAGAATGTGAGCATCTGTCACTGCCTACACTTCCTCGCTTTTTTTCCTCACCTGCTTGCTGTTTCCCCTTTAAATACTGAAGTTCCCAAAACCCTCTTTGGAAAAAGTAGAAGGCGCAGATGCTCCTGTGATCCCGTATTTTTTCCTAGATGTGTCCTTGGACCTTGGCTAAATAAATCTCTATGGATTGAGGTCTGTCTCAGTCATGTTTTGAACATAGGCTTGGTTCAACACTAACTGAGAAGTTGGTGACTGAGGATACAGAAGACAGGACTAGTCATTCCCTTGAATAGGCAGGAGATGATGGCCTACCCCGTGCACAAATGACTGGGGAACAGGAAGGCTTACATAGGAGCATGACCCTTTACCTATGGTAACGAGAGAAAAGCAGAGTTCACCACAGAGCAGTAGGATTGACCTTGGCCACCTCTGCTGTCTCATAAAGCAAGCAAGGTCATAGGGTAAAATTCACACAACTGAAGTCAGTGAATCCCCAGGTGTCTTCCTCCCCTAATGTGGGGTGTTGCTCCTGTTGGCTTTTCTCTGCATGAGTCCTGATCTGAGTAACTTCAAGTGTTCTTTTTTTAAATTTTTATTTATTTTTTTATTTTTTCCTCCCTTGAGACAGGGTCTTGCTCTGTTGCCCAGGCTGGCATGCAGTGATGCAATCTTGGCTCACTGTAGCCTCCACTTCTTAGGCTCAATCAATCCTCCCATCTCAACCTCCCCAGTAACTGGTACTACAGGCCTGCAGCCCCATGCCCGGCTATTTTTTGTGTACGTGTTTGTGTGTGTACATATATATATATATATATATAATCTTATTATTATTTTTTTTGTAGGGAGTCTTGCTATGCTGCCCACGTTGGTCTTGAATTCTTGAGCTCAAGCAATCCACCCGCCTCGGCCTCCCAAAGTGCTGGGATTACAGGCTTGAGCCACCGTCCCAGCCACCCAAGTATTTTAAAAGACCCCCTACTTGGGGGACTTGACCACCGTAGCCTGGCCTTTGGCTTGAGGTTCAGGGAGCTCCTAGGGACACCTCAGAAGGAACGGATCCTGACCTCTGGGACTCGCAGGCTCTGGAGCTCTCGCTGCGTTCAGGCCCGGGTGCTGGGGCAGGCGTGCTCCTAGGCAGGGAGAGGGGTGGCCATGGTCTCCGAAGCCCATTTCTCCTAGCCATGCCTGGAGGCGTAGTTTCCGGGTCTGAATCATGGTGCCCGCGGCCTCTTCTTCTTCCCGCTAACTCCCAGCCCTCGAGGAGGGGAGGTTCCAGGGACGCGCCCAACTCCCACTAGGGGCCAGTTCTCCCTCAGGACGACCCGCGACTCTAGGCGGCGGGTTCTGGAATCCACGCTGGACATGGCCCGCAGCTAGACTCCCTCCCGGGCTGAGTCCACCGTGTCGTGCTGCGGGTCTACACGGCCGCCAGCGTACTCCCCGCCCTGTCTCCACACTACGCCTGATTGGCGAGCCGCGGGGCGACGACCTCGTCCGCGCGTCTCCTGGAGGTGCTGGGCACATCCTCCGGGTCCTGAGGCTGCGACCTGGGGCTCCAGGTCCTTGGGTGCTGGGGATCGCTCAGCAGCCCCGTCCTCTTCGTCATCGTCCTGTGCTCGCCTGCAGCGCCGCCGACCGCGCAGAGAGCGAGGCCGGCGAGGATCCCGCGCGCAGGCGCACACGGCTGCGACCACGGCTAGGAGGGCGGGGGCGGGGCTTCGTGCCGCGGTAGTTCCGGCGAAGCGGGTGGGCTCCCTTGCGCAGGCGCAGACGGCGAAGCTCACGTTCTCAGGAAAGGGTGGTGGGGGCCCGGGGTGCGTGAGAGGCGCCTGGGCGCAGGCGCAGACGACGGGGGTCGAGTTGGGCAGGCGGTAGGGGCGACCTGGGAGAAGGTCCCTGCTGCAGGTGCGTGGCCATAGGAGCATCTGGGCCGTCCCTGAGGTGTTGCAGTTGATAATTTTATTATTTTACAGTCTCTAAAAGTGTTTTTGTTTTTCTTTGTTTTGTTACAGACGTGGAAATGCATTTTGTTCCAGTACATCACATTCCAGGGAGCAAAGAATTCTTTTACAAAGCCGGGTGTCATCATTTTCTTAGAAGAAGAACCATTGCAACAGGGCTCAAAGTTGACTCTGCTGGAAAGGCAAGGGACAGGGAAATGATGATAACATAAGCAGCCGGCTGTGTCATTCCTTCCATTTGTATCTTTTTTTCCCAGTAATTTGTGCCCATGGCTTTGTTTAGAGTCTCCTGCTTGTTTACCTACTCGCTATATATCTATATCTATATCTATATCTATATCTATATCTATATCTATATCTATATATATATAGAGAGAGAGAGAGAGAGAGACAGAGAGAGAGAGAGAAAACCCTACTGATAAATCAGCGTTCCCATCACAGATTGCCCTTCATTTCTAATTAATGGGGAATTCTAAAGAGGGAAAGCTGTGAGCTGGAAGCATTCCCTGAATAGCAAGTGCATAAGAAATGTTTTTGTTGCATGTAATTTGTATGAAGGTGCCTAAAGTAAGGCTTCATCAAGTTTTAGTTTCAAGTTTTAGTTTATTTGTGAAAACTGATTTCCAATTTAAGCCATTTATTAATTCTGTTTTTCAGAGAAACTTGACCGAGCACTTGCCGTGCTTCAGGCATCGTTCAAGGCAACAGGGTTATGGTCTTGAATAGGAGAGACAGAGTTCTCATCTCTAGACAGACTGGCAGTAAGCCCGAAAATAGATCAATACACAATATAATTTCAGATAGTGACTTTTTGCTACAAAGCCAAAAGTAAATTAAGGTGAACAGATAGCGTATTTTTAGAGGGGGTGCTACTTGAGATACAGACGCGAGGCTTATATCTTACTCATGCAACCTGCCTTTCGAATGGAGCTGGAGTGCTGTACTTTGCATTGTTCTCATCTCAGGACTGTCAGACATTATAGAACAAAGGAGAGAACTGGCAGTACTTGCACTGTCTCTTAAAGCTTCAGTCCAGAAATGATACCATCCTTGCACATATTTCACTGGTCAAAACAAGTTACAAATGTAAACTGACCTTCAAATGGGAGAGAATGTAGAATCCCACCATGTGCCCCAAATAAGAGAAAGCCAGAATATGTATGAGCAGTCCTAATGATTATAACACATGAAAACATCTCCCCAAAATCGCTGCCTAGAGAGGACAATATACTATTCTCATTTCCCCTAAATTGAAAGGGGAACTGGTTATAAATACAGAATATTTTAGGATGGTGCAGCCACAGTGAAAAATGTAACTCGAAGGAGAGGGGTTGGAATAGCGATGGTGGTGGTGATTCTGCACATTGAGTATTTATTTTCAGACTGCCACGACCTTTCTACCTCATGCTACTATAATTTGCATATATAGTTATTCATGATCCTGTATGCTGTGGAGGGCACCAAGATAGCATCCTAAGCAGTGGTTTACAGAGGTAGCAACTGTGAATTCCAGATGCAAAGTTTGGCATGAAGCTGGGGTTGGGAAATATAATCAAAGCTCTCACAGTGATAAATGAGGTACATAATTTTATGTCTGTCACTGGGTAGCTTTGAAATATTAACCACAAAAACCTCTCTGAACTGTAAAGTTTTGCAAGCAGATATCTCTTCTGTGTAATGAAGGTGGCAAGAAGTTACATCTAGAACAAAAGCATTGCTCATGAAGTGGAAGTGTAATTTTGTCTTGTGACAGTAATGCAATAGTGTCAAAAACTCAGATCTCCATAAGGAAAAAAAGATCATCAGAAAAAGATAAAACTATTGTTCTTTCTTGTAATTGGACTAAATGGTAACTGTTAAAGTAACAATATTAACAATACATTGGGTGATTATAGTTTTTGGATAAGTGAAGTCAGTAACAGTAATGTCATATGAATCAGTCATATTGTATTGGAAGATTTCTGTACTACATGTGAAATAGTATAATGCTATTTGAAGGTGGACTTCGATTATTTGTGAATGTATATTGCAAACTCTAGGGCAAGCATACACAAAAATTAAAAAGAACTATAATTCACATACTAAGACCAAATAAAATATAGAATCAAATAAAATGCCCAATTAACACCAGAAAAGGGGAGGGGCAGGGCCAAGATGGCCAACTAGAAGCAGATGCATTCAGAGGCTCCAAAAAAAAAAAAAAAAAAAGAAAAGAAAAACATAATAAGTGTGTGAATCCTTCACTGGCAACCAAGGTATCCAGATTCTCTCATCAAAATTGACTAGAAGGGTGGCGTGACTCACGGAGAGAAGGAAGATCGGTGTGGTGTGGCAGCCCACCTGAGAGCCACCGCAACCCCCTACCCCCAGCCAAGGGACGCAGTGAGTGAGCATGCCACCCAGCCTAGGAAACTGTGCTTATCCCACGGAAGTATGCAACCCACGGATCGGAAGATCCCAGTCACGAACCCACCCCACCAGGGCCTAGCCTCCCAACCCTGGAACACGCAGATTCTTACATCCTCTCAGCTGGAATCTGCTTAAGCCTGAGGAACTCCTAATGGGAGGGGCGACTTGCACCTGCTTCAGCTGCCTGCTCTCTAAGCCTTTTAGCCTCATGGGGGAGGGGCAGCAGCCAGTACTGGGACTCGCAACTGCCTAACAAGCTAAGCTCCATGGGCAGGGGAAGGGTGCCACCCATTTCTATAGCTCCAGGCTGCGTTTTTCTGCTGGTGGAGCCAAGGAGGCTGGACAGCTTGGTCCCAAGACTTGTCCCACAGCTCAACGCATGGGCTGTGCCAGTCTGTGGCCAGAGTGCCTCTTCAGGTCTAACCCTGACCCATCCTTCTTCAGTGGGCGGGGCTTCCCTGCAGAATCTCCAATAACTCCAGCCAGAGGATCTCCCTGGGCCTGAGCCCCCAGGGGGAGGGGTGGCCACAGTCTGCAGATCAGCAGACTTAGCCTCTCCTCTTGGTAGTTCTGAGGAATCTGGGCAGCCTAGACAAGTGGGCTTCCCCCAGTGAAACACACCCTCTCCACCAAGGGACAAAGTGCTTTGTTAAATGGGTCCTGCTCCCTGTGTCACCCAACTGGGTGAGACCCTCCAGCAGGGGTTGTTAGACACCCCATACAGGGGCAATCCTACTGGCATCAGGTTGGTGCCCCTTGAGGTCAGAGGTCCCAGAAGAAGGAGGAGGAAAACATCTTGGCTGCTCTCCAGCCTTGTCGAGTGGCATTTCCAGGCACAGGACCGAATCAGATGAATAAGACCTGAAATGAACCCCCAGCAAATTGCAGCCACCCTACAGAAGAGGGACCTGACTATTGAAAGAAAGTAAACAAGCAGAAAGGAACAACAACAGCATCAACAACAACAACAACAACAAAAAGGCCCGCATAAAAACCCCATCCAAGGGTCAGCAGCCTCAAAAACCAAAACTAGACAAACTCATGAAGATGAGAAAGAATCAATGAAAAAATGCTGAAAACTCAAAAGGCCAGAGTGCCTCCTCTTCTCCAAATGATCCCAACATCTCTCCATCAAGGGCACAGAACTGGACAGAGAATCAGATGGACGAATTGACAGAAGTAGGATTCAGAAGATGGGTAATAAAAAACTATGATGAGCTTTTTTTTTTTTTATGAGCTAAACAAGCATGTTCTAACCCAACATGAAGAAGCTAAGAACCTTGATAAAACATTAGAGGAATTGATAACTAGAATAACCAGTTTAGAAAGGAACATAAATGACCTGATGAAGCTGAAAAACACAGCAAGAGAACTTTGTGAAGCATACCGAAGTATCAACAGCTGAACTGGCCAAGTGGAAAAAAGAATATCAGAGTTTGAAGACCACGTTTACTGAAATAAGACATGCAGACAAGAATAGAGAAAAAAAGAATGAAAAGGAATGAACAAAGCCTCCAAGAAATATGGGACTTCATAAAAAGACTGAACCTACAATTGATTGGAGTACCAGAAGGAGACAGGGAGAATGGAAACAAGCTGGAAAACACACTTCAGGATATTATCCAGGAGAACTTCCCCAGCCTAGCAGGACAGGCCAACATGCAAATTCAGGAAATACAGAGAACACCATTAAGACTCTCCAGGAGAAGATCAACCCCAAGACACATAATCATCAGATTTTTTCAAGGTCAAAATGAAGGAAAAACTCTTAAAGGCAGCCAGAGAGAAAGGTCAGGTCACCCACAAAGGGAAGCCCGTCAGACTAACAATGGACCTCTCTGCAGAAACTCTACAAGCCAGAAGAGATTGGGGGCCAATATTCAACATTCTTAAAGGAAAGAGTTTTCAACCCAGAATTTCATATCTAGACAAAGTCAGCTTCATAAGTGAAGGAGAAATAAAATCCTTTCCAGACAAGAAAATCCTGAAGGATTTTGTTACCACCAGGCCTGTCCTGCAAGAGCTCTTGAAAGAAGCACTAAACATGGAAAGGAAAAACCGATACCAGCCACTGCAAAAACACACAAAAATATAAAGACCAATGACACTGAAGAAACTACATCAACTCGTGTGCAAAATAACTAGTTAGCATCATGATGACAGGATCAGATTCACACATTACAATGCTAACCTTAAATGTAAATGGGCTAAATGCCCCAATTAAAAGACACAGACTGGCAAATTGGATAAGGAGTCAAGACCCATTGGTGTGCTGCATTCAGGAGACCCATCTTACATGCAAAGACACACACAGGCTCAAAATAAAGGGATGGAAGGAAAATTTAACAAGCAAATGGAAAGCAAAAAAAAGCAGGGGTTGCAATCCTAGTCTCTGACAAAACAGACTTTAAACAAATAAAGATAAAAAAAGACAAAGAAGGGCATTACGTAATAGTAAAGGGAACAATTCAATAAGAAGAGCTAACTATTCTGAATATATATGCACCCAATACCAGAGCACCCATATTCATAAAACAAGTTCTTAGAGACCTACAAAGACACTTAGACTCCCACACAATAATGGGAGATCTTAACACCCCACTGTCAATATTAGACAGATCAATGAGGCAGAAAGTTAACAAGGATATTCAGGACTTGAACTCAGCTCTGGATCAAGTGGACCTAGTAGATGTCTACAGAACTATGTACCCCAAATCAACAGAATATATGTTCTTCTCAGTACCACATGGAACTTATTCTAAAATTGACCACATAATTGGAAGTAAAACACTCCTCAGCAAATGCAAAAGACCTGAAATCATAACAAACAGTCTCTCAGATCACAGTGCAATCAAATTAGAACTCAGGATTAAGAAATTCCCTCAAAACAATACAATTTCAGGGAAATTGAACAACCCGCTCCTGAATGACTCCTGGGTAAATAATGAAATTAAGGCAAAAATCAACAAGTTCTTTGAAACCAATGAGAACAAAGAGACAATGTACCAGAATCTCTGGGACACAGCTAAAGCAGTGTTAAGAAGGAAATTTATAGCACTAAATGCCCACATTAGAAAACTAGAAACTTCTCAAATCAACACTCTAACATCACAATTAAAAGAGCTAGACAGCAAAGAACAAACGAATCCAAAAACTAGCAGAAGACAAGAAATACCTAAGATCAGAGAAGAATTGAAGGAGATAGAGACATGAAAAACCCTCTAAAAATTAATGAATCCAGGAGCTGGGTTTTTGAAAAAGTTAGCATAATAGATAGACTACTAGCTAGACTAATAAAGAAGAGAGAAAAGAATCAAATAGACACAATAAAAAATGATAAAGGGGATATCACCACTGGCCCCACAGAAACACAAACTACTATCAGAGAATAATATAAACACCTCTACGCAAATAAACTAGAAAATCTAGAAGAAATGGATAAATTCCTGGACACATACATCCTACCAAGACTAAACCAGGAAGAAATGGAGTCCCTGAATAGGCCAATAACAAGGTCTGAAATTGAGGCAGTAATTAATAGCCTACCAACCAGAAAAAGCTCAGGACCAGACGGATTCACAGCTGAATTTTACCAGAAATACAGAAAGGAGCTGGTACCATTCCTTCTGAAACTATTTCAAACAGTTGAAAAGGAGGGACTCCTCCCAACTCATTTTATGAAGCAAGCAACATCCTGACACCAAAACCTGGCAGAAACACAACAGAAAAAGAAAACTTCAGGCCAATATCCCTGATGAACATCCATGCAAAAGTCCTCAATAAAATACTGGCAAACTGAATCCAGCAGCACATCAAAAAACTTATCCCCCATGATCAAGTCAGCTTCATCCCTGGGATACAAGGCTGTTCAACATAAACAAATCAATAAACGTAACATAAACAAATCAATAAACGTAATCCATCATATAAGCAGAACCAAAGACAAAAATCACAAGATTTTCCCAATAGATGCAGAAAAGGCCTTTGATAAAATTCAACATCCCTTCATGTTTAATACTCTCAATAAACTAGGTATTGATGGAACATATTTCCAAATAATAAGAGCTATTTATGACAAACCCACAGCAAATATCAAATTCAATGGGCAAAAGCTGAAAGCATTCTCTTTGAAAACCAGTAGAAGACAAGGATGCCCTCTCTCACCACTCCTATTCAACATAGTATTGGAAGTTCTGGCCAGGGAAATCAGGTAAGAGACAGAAATAAAGGGTATTCAAACAGAAAGAGAGGAAGTCAAGTTGTCTTTTTTGCAGATGACATGATTTTATATTTAGAAAACCCTGTCATCTCAGCCCAAAAACTTCTTGAACTGATAAACAACTTCAGCAAAATCTCAGGATACAAAATCAATGTGTAAAAATCACAAGCATTCCTTTACACCAACAATAGGCAAGGAGAGAGCCAAATCATGAATGAACTCCCATTCACAATTGCTAAAAAGAGAAAAAATACCTAGGAATACAGCTAACAGGGGATGTGAAAGGCCTCTTCAAAGAGAACTACAAACCACTGCTCAAGGAAATAAGAGAGGACACAAATAAATGGAAAAACATTCCATCCTCAAGGATGGGAAGAATCAATATTGTGAAAATGGCCATACTGGCCAAAATAATTTATAGATTCAAAGCTATTCTTATCAAACTACCATTGACATTCTTCAGAGAATTAGAAACAAAACTATTTTAAAATTCACATGGAATCAAAGAAGACCTTGTACAGCCAAGACAATCTGAAGCAAAAAAAAAAAAAAAACCTGGAGGCATCATGCTACCTGACTTCAAACTATACTACAAGTCTACAGTAAGCAAAACAGCATGGTACTGGTACCAAAATAGACACATAGACCAATGGAGCAGAACAGAGATTTCAGAAATAACACCACACATCTAAAACCATCTGATCTTCAACAAACTGGACAAAAACAAGCAATGGGGAAAGGATCTCCTATTCAGTAAATGGTGCTGGGAAAACAGGCTAGCCATATGCAGAAAACAGAAACTGGAACCCTTCCTTACACCTTATACAAAAATTTACTCAAGATGGATTAGAGACTTACATGTTAAACCCCAAACCATAAAAACCCTAGAAGAAAACCTAGGCAATACCATTCAGGACATAGGCATGGGCAAAGGCTTCATGACAAAAATGCCAAAAGCATTTGCAACAAAAGTCAAAATTGACAAATGGAATATAATTAAACTAAAGAGCTTCCTCACAGCAAAAGAAATTATCATCAGAATGAACTAGCAACCTACAGATTGGGAGAAAATTTTTGCAATCTAACCATCTGACCAAAATCTAATATCCAGAATTTACAAGGAACATAAACATATTTACAGGAAAAAAACAAACAACCCCATCAAAGGATATGAACAGACACTTCTCAAAAGAAGACATTTATGCGACCAAAAAACTTATTAAAAAAGTTAAACATCGCTGATCATCAGGAAAATTCAAATCAAAACCTCAATGAGATACCATCTCATGCCAGTCAGAATGGCGATTATTAAGGAATACTTGTGATTATTAAGAAGTCAGGAAACAATAGATGCTGGTGAGGCTGTGGAGAAACAGGAATGCTTTTACACTGTTGGTGGGAATGTAAATTAGTTCAACCATTGTGGAAGACAGGATGGTGATTCCTCAAGGATCTAGAACCAGAAATATCATTTGACCCAGCAATCCCATTACTGGGTATATGCCCAGTGGAATATAAATCATTCTGCTATAAAGACACATGCACACATATGTTTACTGCAGCACTGTTTACAATAGGAAAGACATGGAACCAACCCAAATGCCCATCAATGATAGACTGGATAAAGAAAATGTGGTAAATATACACCATGAAATAGTATGCAGTCATAAAAAGGAATGAGATCGTGTCCTTTGAAGGGACATGGATGAAGCTGGAACCCAACATCCTCAGCAAACTAACACAGGAACAGAAAACCAAAAACCACATGTTCTTATTCATAAGTGGGAGTTGAACATTGAGAACACATGGACACAGAGAGGGGAATAACACACACCAGGGCCTGTTGGGGAGTGAGGGGTGAGGGGAGGGAACTTAGAGGACAGGTCAATAGGTGCAGCAAACCACCATGGCACACGTATACCTATGTAACAAACCTGCAGGATCTGCACATGTATCCCATTTTTTTAGAAGAAACAAAGAAAAAGAACACTAATTAGCATATAGAATTAAAAAGTAAAAATAAAGACAAAACCAGAAAAGGCAGAAGGAAACGGAAAAGAAAAAAAGAACAAAGGAATAGTAAACAGTAACAAACATGTAATATTTATATATATATGAGTGTGAATGGTCAAATTATACCAATTAAAAGACAGAGACTGTTATAAACAGTCTATAAACAAACAAGATTTGACTATATATTACCTATAAGAAATCTACTTTAAATATAGAGAATCAGAAAAGTAAAGAGATGGAGAAAGGCATACCATGATAACAACAATCAAAAGAAAGCTGTAGTATCTACATTAATTTCAGGAAAAGCAGACTTCAGAACAAGAAATATTGTCATTGCTAAAGAGCAACATTACATACTGATAAAAGCACAAGGAGTGAATGTATACAAATCAGAAAATATTAGGAGTGCAGGAAATCACAGGATGAAATGCAGAACGTGCCAAAAAATTGAACCATATTACAAATACATGAAACAACTTCTCTGAAGCTTCAGGGATGGGGGTTACTGACCTAAATTACTTTGGAAGTTTAGTGGAGTCTTTAAAACTCAACAAAATGTACTGCACAGAAACATTGTACTTTATTTGATAGAACTGTTTTTCACATGGGTTGATGTTGACAATTGTAAAACCACTCTAACATGTATTCTGGAAATAAATATGTAAATGGACTGTATACAGTGGGGTCCAGGTTTTTCACATTAAGAACTTACAGCTGAACAAGGAAGGAGGGTGTGATGATCTATATAATAATAGATTAGAGCTGAGAGCATCCATATGAAATAATATTTACTTCAACATAGATATATCTGTGTAAGGTAGCATGTGGATATATTCATAGATGCATGCATGTGGGTTAGTATATGCATATATATTTCTTTGCTCTGTCAGCTCAGAGGAAATAGAAAGAACACCCCAATATGAATGAGCACACTACAGCCCCAATGTTGGTTTCTTACATCATATAAATAACAGAACCTAGTATCTTTGGAGAAATGTCTGACTTTATGACCAGGGTAGGAAATACATAAGATGATCCTGGAGCATCTCATAGTACAAGTAAGTAACGAAGAGCTTAAAAAAAAAAAATTGTGATGTCAACATGATGGAGAGCCAGCTGAGGGCTCCCAAGGGCCAAGCCTGGGACAATATGAGCAAAGAAATAAATGAAATAGTATTATAACCCAAATATGAAATTAACATCCAGGAGTGAACACTGACATAACTGGGAGAGAATGGACAAATCTGTGCAGAGGCATTCCATGTCATTTATGTAGATAGCCAATCTTCAAGAAGTGAGTATAACTTACTGCTCCTTAAGCTTTGGACTATGCATAGTAACGTCCTTCCAAAGAGAAAAGTATGGAAATCAGAGGGAAAGTAATTGTACAGTGGAGAATCACAACAAGCACTACTTAGCCAAAGGATCAAGTTTAATAACATCAGTAGTGATAAAGTCACATGATGATATATACCCTTGATATGATATGACAAGAATGGCACTTGACTGTGTGGTCTTTCTCCCCCAAACACATCACTCCTGTCTATTCACAAGAAAAACACCAGGTGTATCTCAATGGAGGGACATTTCACAGACTACCTGATCATTTAAGGAATACCAGAATTTCTTTTTTGTTGGTTAACTTGTATTTTAAGTTCAGGGGCACATTGTGCAGGTTTGATGCATAGGAAAACATGTGTCCTGGGGGTTTGTTCTACAGATTATATTATCACCCAGGTATTAAGCCTAGTACCCATTAGTTATTTTTCCTTATCCTCCTCGTCCTCCCACCTTCCACCCTCTGATAGGCCCCAGTGTGTGTTGTTTCCCTCTATTTGTCCATGTGCTCTTATCATTTAGCTCCCACTTATAAGTGAGAGCATGCAGGATTTGGTGTTCTGTTCCTGTGTCAGTCTGCTAAGGATAATGGCCTCCAGCTCCGTCCATGTCCCTGCAAAGGACATGATCTCATTCTTGTTTATGGCTGCATAGTATTCCATGGTGTATATGTGCCACATTTTCTTTATCCAGCCTGTCATCGATGGGCATTTAGGTTGATTCCATGTCTTTGCTATTGCAAATAGTGCTGCAATGAACATAACTGTGCAGGTGTCTTTATAATATAATGATTTAGAACTAGAGAAAAGTATTTTAAAATTCATGATGAACTATAAAAGAGCCCAAATAGCCAATGCAATCCTAAGCAAAAAGAACAAAGCTGGAGGCATCATGCTAACCAACTTCAAACTATACTACAGGGCTACAGTAACCAAAACAGCATGGTACTGGTATCAGAATTTCTTAAAAGTGTAAAGGTTATCAAATAAAAAAGAAAAGAAAAGTCTGAGAAATTGTTACAGGCAAGAGAAGCCTAAGGAGACATAACTAATGTGATATTCTGGATAGAATAGTGGAACATGAAAAGGATATTAGGGAAAGACTGAGGAAATCTGAAGAGAGAATGGACTTCATTTAATGACAATATACTTGTATTTTGTCATTCATTGTGGTAAGCATATCATGATAATGGAAGATGTAGTAGAGTAAGAGTGTATGGGAAAACTGTATCATCCAATTTTCTGTAAATCTAAAACAGTTTGAAATTAAAAGGTTTATAGAAAGAACAATAAACTTTAAACTATCAAAAAAAGAAAAGGAAAATCAGAATCATAATTAGAAAATAGGTTCAGGAAATGAAAGCCACTTGCTGTATCTGTCTGTGTTTTCTCACAAAGCTTTTTGTTTGTTCATTTGTTTTTCTTAACTTACCATGTTTAAAATAATTATAGTGATATAACGTGAAGGTCAGGAGTTTCTGTGCTGCAGCCTGAATGTGCTATAGAAGTAAGAAAATTGCAAGGTATCAGACCCTTTTCAGGCAGAAATTTGTTTCTATCTAGGTGTTAAAATGAGTTGTGATAATAGTGGAAAGCTTGATGCTGTGTAACAAAGACCAAACGTGTGCTACATATACCCAGGTATTCCCCTACGCTTCCCGGGGTCCTCTGGTAGTAAGTTGGGGCCATCTGGCTATTCCTCACCTGTGGACTCAGCATGATTGATTTGCGGCAATCCTGGCTGAGGCAGGTAAGGGCGGGTGCGCCTCCTGTGGATCATTGTTTCACTTGCTGCAATGAAAGGAGTGGCCTGACCATGCCGGACTTACAGGAGAAGTAAAATTTCACTGCCTTAAGGCAATAAGGTCTCAGGAGTTCCCTTTTTCAGCAACTGGCATTAATTCCTCTAATGAGGAATGCCTCGTACTGACTTTCCCCAAGTCACAGAGCGCATTCTATCCAATACAGGCATGAAAAGTGTGCAGGCAGGGGGAGCCAAAAATAGGATTTCTGAGCCAGAGCCTGTGACTGAGGTGAGAAAAGTAAAGGTCCCAGTCTTAAAATAGCCTGCACATTTCAGAATGGCATTACTCCCAGCCCCAGGGAGGAACACAGCTCCCTCTGTGAGGAGTGATGAATTATGACCACGTGGGAGATGCATATTTCATAAGTCCTTCTACTTTTATGAATGGTGGCTGAACTGTAAATATAGCTGGAGCTAGAGTCTGACATTTCACACGTCTTAAATTAAAACAAAAAAAAATGACTCCTTCTTTAGCCTTTTACTTCTAAGTAAAATAAAATATCCTGTAATCCCAGCACTTTGGGAGGCCGAGGCCAGCCGATCACCTGAAGTCAGGAGTTTGAGACCAGCCTGACCAACATGGTGAAACCCCATCTCTAGTAAAATACAAAATTAGCTGGGCGTGGTGGTGCATGCCTGTAATCCTGGCTGCTCGGGAAGCTGAGGCAGGAGAATAGCTTGAACCCAGGAGGTGGAGGCTGCAGTGAGCCGAGATCACACCAATGCACTGTAGCCTGGGCGAAGACGGAGCGAAACTCCATCTCAAAAAATAAAATAAAATAAAATATCAGGGATTTTAGAACAGTTGTTTTCTTATTCTTGCAGGTAAGGCATATATTTAGTTGCTACTATGTGACAGAGACTGTGTAAAACCCTGAAAATTCAGGTTTAAATAAGAGACATTCCCCTTCCTCAAGGAGTTCATATTTTAAGAGACTGAGTAATACATAAGTAATTTAGATATACGATGTCCAGTGCTACAATAGAGGTCTGCATAGAGTGTTAGGAAACACAGAAGAGGTGGACTTAGCCAGCAAAGAGGTTCACAAAAAGTTTTCAGAAGAGATAATGACACTGGCAAAAGGAATGGAAGAGGAATTTCAGGTTGAAGATGTGTGAGCAAGAACAAACATTTGAAAAATTATAGTATGTAGGGACATGATTATCACATAAGTCACTTATGTGTTACTGTATGTCATAGACTATTTTAACTTTTCTTCCATGTGTTAAGTTGTTTAATTACATTTCGTTTGGTATCATGAGACTACTAAGTACAAGGGTAGGAACAGCATGAGGTCAGATTTAGTGGTACTAATCACAGGTAAAATTACACTTTATTGATGGGAAATATATGTGAAGTTAAACTTAGAAAACAATAAGCATTTGATTAAAGGGCTTCTAAGAACACACTTTTGTGGTATGTATATTGGGAAACAGGCTGTTATTTAAGTAGGATGTATTATACCTGGAATTTTAATCATATACCTCTTATCAAAGAGTGTACTTTCATTTTAGACTGGGATGACATATATTTTAAAGCTCAGAATCATTTTCAGAAATACTGTGGCTCATGTGATTAAAAGCTAAACTTGTATTCAAATTATTTTTTAGATTTTTAAAAAATAAGGTGTAGAATTGGAACCTTTGATAATACCTTTGACATATAAAGAATCCAAACAAATGAAAAAGAGACAAATGAACAAATAACAAGAATGGATAATTGACTAAAGAAGAAACATAAACAAGCACTACAGAAATGAAAGATGTTCAAGCTTACCAAAAATCAAATATGTGTGAATTTTGATGACAAAATTACTATACATTAGTTACATTAATACATATGTAGAAATACAATCATAGTAAAAAGTGTGAAATATATCAAGAGACCAACACCCACATATGCTGCTAGTGAGGTCCTGAGTTATTTCAAGTGTTTTCTAAGACATTTTTACAACACATATCAAAAACTTTGGAAAATAGATTACCTTTAACAGAAGTCTCAGTTATTGACATTTACCCTAAGGAATTAATCACATATTGTTTTCAAGAACTTCAGTTCAAATATTTTCACATCCACATTGTTTATAATAGTGTAAAATTGGGGATAACCTAAAGATCTAACAATAAATGGTATTTTAGTCACATGCTGCAAATTAGAAGGCCAAAAGATAATTATAGCCTGCAGACACTGTTTGTTTCTACAATTCAGTGATTTAAATTAAATTCGACTGGTTGCAAATACTTATATTTGCAAACACCCATCCCTCTACATTTTGTGTGTGTGGTAAGAGGCACCCGATTTTATGGAGTGAAGACTTCTCCCCTATTCTCAGTCCATGTGATTCAGGTGGTCTCTACGTCCAGACTCAGGGATGGATCATGGAACCCAGATATGACTAGTCAGATGGTTCCCACAGTCACAGATATTATCGCTGGATGGGCCCAGATTGGTCTAAGCAGAGTGAATCTGGGTATTTTTTTTCTGGAGCCACGAGAGAGAGATGATTTCTTTTCTGTTTAAAATGTTAAAAGTGGATGGTATGTCCTGAATCTATAAGGCTACATCAAATGGACTCACCCAGCCCAGCAGAAGATGGAATGAAGAGAGGGAGTAAAACTGAGTCACGAAGCCCAGGTTCTAGGCAAGCCTGAGGTGAGCCAGTTCAGACCCTGGTCTTTTCAGTGATGTGAGTCAACAAACAACAACCTCTAGTAGCTGTTTTTCCTTTTTCAGTTAAAACATGTGGAACTGGAATTTATGTTACTTGTGTCTGTAGAATGTTCGAACTGAGAGAGAGAAAACAAAACAAAATAAAAACATCCACCAGGGAACAAAATCCCCCCCCTCCCACCTTCATTACTTCTTTACAAAGCCACACTGAAGCCTGCTCTTCGTGGCAATTGGCACCAATGACGGCATTTTCAATTTCTTTTTAAATCTATTGACTTAGCTGACATTACAAAGATGGAGAAGACTGTAAGGGCAAGTCATTGCTGTAGTATTGCAGAAGAAGATCAGTGCATTTGGAATTTCTGAACCCCCAGAGATAATGATTCCAGCAGCCTGCAGAGATTTCTGAAATGCATAAATACAAACCTCAGCAAACCATGGCCCACACAAGAGGGAGGGGCCGAGGCTTCAGCGCACGGTTTTAACTGGAAATGAGCGGAGATAAATAGATTCTAGGGCCATGCCTTTATTTAAATAGAAGGATGATTTAGCCAGCCACGGTGACTCACGCCTGTAAGCCCAACGCTTTGGGAGACTGAGGTGGGCAGATCACTTGAGGTCAGGAGTTCGAGACCAGCCTGGCTGACATGGCAAAACCCCATCTCTACTAAAAGTACAAAAATTAGCTGGGTGGTGTGGCAGGTGCCTGTAATCCCGGCTACTCTGGAGGCTGAGGCCAGGAATTGCTTAAACACAGGAGGCAGAGGTTGCAGTGAGCCAAGATTGCACCACTGCACTCTGGCCTGGGTGACCGAGTGAGACTCCATTTCAAAAAAAAAATAATAATAATAATAGAGAAAAGTGATTTAGTAATATTGTATTAACAATTCACAAAAGGGCATTAGGAATACAGAGAAACTTTAATAATCGCCACAAAATACAGACAACTGGAGATAAAATGAGTGCATATGATGATCTATTAGGGATTTGCATTCTTTCACGTCTCTCTCTCTCTCTCTCCCTCTCTCTCTCTCTCTTTCCCTTCCATTCAGTAAAGACAACCATCTTAAGTAACACCTGGCTCTTATTGAGAAAAAAAAATCTGCCTATTTTCTGTATCATAAAACATTTAGTTAGTAAAGTTCAAGCAATTTTATCTGGTCCCCTTCAGAGAAAAAAGAATATGCTACTTACCTGCCCATAACTTCATCCTCTCTCTATTCTCTGCCTCTCCAGTAGGGCTGCTCTGTTCTGAGACCTTGGTGGTCAACAGCAGCCGGACATCCTATGCTAATTAGGTACAGCCCCCAGGACTGGCCATCCTTGGTTGGCTATGGAAACACTGACTCTATGAGCCTAGAGATTGGACTTTTCCCCAGAAAATAATAAAAACTGTATCTGTCTTTCCATATTTTATTTGTTCTTGTACATTGATCCGCCTCTGAGCTGAGGAAAGGGAAGCGGGAAGCTGCTTTTTTTTTTTTTCTTTGAAACTGTGTCTCACTCTGTCGCCAGGCTGGAGCGCAGTGACGCAATCTCGGCTCACTGCAACCTCTGCCTGCCAAGTTCAAACGATTCTCCCGCCGCAGCCTACTGAGTAGCTGGGATTACAGGCATGCACCACTACGCCCTGCTAATTTTTGTATTTTTAGTAGAGACAGGGTTTCACCATGTTGGCCAGGATGGTCTTGGTCTCCTGACCTTGTGATCCACCCGCCTCGGCCTTCCAAAGTGCTGGGATTACAGGCATGAGCCACCGCGCCCAGCAGGGAAGCTGCCTTTAATCACCTGTATTCCTAAATGGCTAAGATTAGATGAGGCCACCAACGTAGACTCATCCAGTTCCTTCACTCAACTTTGACTTCCATGAGGGCAGCATCAACACTTTAGACAGAAAAAGAGGTAGAAATGAATAGTAAACTTCACTTGTAGGAGAAACCTTTCTTATTTTCTCCTGTGACTCCAATGCTATTTTTAAAATAAAAAAGATAGATTTCATTTGAATTAAAATAAATAGATCCAAAGAATGCTTAGACCTGCAGCCAATGGCTCTTGGTGGGTCTGGTTCTCTGGATGAACATGCAGTAACTAATTTATTATTCCAGGAAATCCACTTCCCACCTTTGTTTCAGAAGCACAAATATTCTTTATTGTACTGTGTCGGGGTGCTGCAGTGGCTGTTGATGCTAACTTTTGCTTACTTGCAAATAAGTTTGTGTATGTTTTGTGCACACCAGGCATTTGAAGATTCAACCCTGTCACTAAAAGACAGCTTTTATTTTAACCCTGTTGTGAGCCTTTCAGGCCTTAGGTGCACAGAGGGTTTACCTGGAGGAAGTCATGGGGAAGGAGCTGGCCCCAGCTCTGAGGGCTCCTGTTTTTGTAGGTTCCTCACCAGCCTCCAGGGTTACAGCCTGAAGCCTGCCTGGCATCCTAGAGAGGCATAAACGCCTATAATGCCTCTCTAGTGGGCTCCTCTTAGACTCGGGGAAGATCTCGTTTCATGATGCTTGAGGAATCTCAGTTTTCCCTTGCTCTGTAATGAAGGCTTGGAAATGTTTCCTATTACATCACAAATCCCCGCTCTTCCTTAGTGAGCCTTTGATTCCTGAAGTAGCTCTTATGTGCCTGAAACCATGGAATGTCTTCTCATGCGACAATTAGAGAGAAAGGCTAGCATTTGTTTACTCTTTGTGCATGTAATTGTATTGCCAACCTTTCCTTAGAGTTGTATCTTGTTAATATTTTGTCAGTTGAATTTTGGCATCGTTCTCAGGTTTTGGCAGAATTGGAATAGTCATTAGCTAGCTGTCCCCATTCAAATAAGACTGCAGAAAAAGGAAGGAACAAATGTGAGTAAATCAAAGAGCTTTTCCTTTTCCCTGATTTTGTTGATTGCAATTCCCATATCTTGGTTCAGCTATCTCATTAGTGGATTCTGATGAAATTATTGAAGAAATTGAAGAGCTTTTGATACTCCTATACAGACCAATGAAAACAAGTCATTTGTAAGTAGTTTCTCAACACAGATTGCTGGATCCTTTAAAATCTGTGTTTCTCTTGCTCAGAGAGGAAACTGAGATCATCCCTCTCATTGTCATCAAGATAGAGCAGGCAGAGGGTGCCACCGACTCATCTGGGTGCCTTGACTGAAGTCCCAGAGGCCCCTCAGCCTCAGCGCACGTGCAGACCTGCAAGATTTCTCAGGGGGTTATTTCCTGATAGAACATCTTTCTCTTTCCAAGGCATTTCTTTGACTTATTCATAAATTTAACAGGTATCTACTGACTTCTGTCTGTGGCTTGGCCTTGTGCCCATCCCAGGGGTTAGAGTCAAAAGTCAGCCTCTATGCAGCCCTCATGGAAGTCAAAGTCCAGTGTAGGAGCTGGACGAGTCAAGGGTGGTGGCCTCTACTCCTTTTTTTGTATGGGGATGTTTTGCAAAAACAGCTGCTTTCAACATGTGCCCTGCCCAGAGAGCACCTGCACCATCTCATGCCAGTCCTAGGCAGGTAGCCTCTTTCTTGCATCTTCTATCTTCTCCCTCTACAACTCATCACCAACCTGGATGGAAGGGAGGGGAGACAAAGCAGGAGAAAAGAAGCCCCCTCTCTTCTCCCACAGCGTGTCCAGAGGGATAAGAGAGAGTCTGGGTATGCAGGTTGCTAACCCAGGATGGCTTATTTAAACAGTAAGCAAGAACATACACAAAAACAAACAAAATGAAAACTTTCATTGGACTTCTGTTGAAAATCCAGGAGACTATTATGTCTCAGAAGCCCACATTTCTATGGGGTGACCACTGGCTGGAGCTGTCGCCCCCTTAGACAGATCAGTTCCTCCTCCTGTCACTGCAGCCCACTCTGCTGCTCTGGGTTCTGTCATGAGCTGGATTGTGTGTGCTCATAATACGTATGTTCAACTTCTCACCTTCAGGACCTCAGAATATAACTGTATTTGAAGAGAGGGTCTTTAGAGAAGTGGTAATTTAATAAAAATGAGGTTGTTATGGCAGGTCCTAATCCAATCTGACTGGTGCCTTTATAAGAAATGGAGATTAGGCCAGACACGGTGGCTCACACCTGTAACCCTAGCAGTTTGGGAGGCTGAGGCCAGCGGATCACCTGAGGTCAGGAGTTTGAGACCAGCCTGGCCAATGTGGTGAAACCCCTATCTCTACTAAAAAAAAAAAAAAAAAGTAGCTGGATGTGATGACAGGTGCCTGTGAACTCTGGAAGCTGAGGCAGGAGAATCACTTGAACCTGGGAGGCGGAGATTGTAGTGAGCCAAGATTGCACCACTGCACATCAGACCGAGCAACAGAGTGAGACTCCATCACAAAAAACAAAAAAAGAAAAGAAAAGAAAAAGAAAAAAGAAAAAAAAAGGAGATTAGGATACAGACACTGAGTAGACTATGTGGGGACACAGGGAGAAGACGGCCACCTACAAGCCAAGGAGAGAGGCCTCAGAAGAAAGTCACCCTACAGACACCTTGATCTCAGACTTCCAGCCTCCAGAACTGTGAGGAAATGCATTTATGCTGTTTAAGCCACCCAGTCTGTGGAGCTTTGTTATGTCAGTTTGAGCAAATTAATATAAATTTCCATTGCTATGCCTCTTCCTTTTGACCCATGTATCTGATCTTCCTGGAGATTGTAGGCCATTTGGATGTGTGATTTTGATTTGAACTCATTTTTCATAGGTTTAATATACAAAGTTTTGCAATATGCAAGTGTAGTAGGGCTCCTAAAAATGTCCATAGGCTAGTCCCTGGAGCTGTTGAACATGTTATTTTGTAAAAGGGACTTTGCAGATGTGATTCAGTGCCTTGAATTGGGAGATCACCCAGGATTATCTGTGTGAGTCCTGTGTAATCATGTTTTCTAATAAGGAGAAGGACTGAGGGTCAGAGTCAGAGGAGAGGTGACCACAATAGCAGAGGTTAGAGTGTCAGGAGTGCTGGCAGAGGGACCTAAGGAAAGGACTGCAGGTGGCCTCTGGAAACTGGAAAACACAGCCAGGAGTACGCTCTCCCCTGGAGCCTCCGACAGGAACACAGAGCCAGGAGTAGATGCTCCCCTGGAGCCTCCAACAGGAACACAGCCCTGCTGATAGCTTGATTTCAGCCACACAGACTAATTTCTAGACTCTGACCTCTAAAAGTATAAGACAGCAAACTGATATTGTTTTAAGCCACCTTGCTTATTCATTTGTGAATATGGGCATCACTGACTCATCCCACTGGGATGTACACTGCCCAAGGCAGGAATCTTGCCTATCTTGTTTCATGCTGTGTCTGTGGCACCTAGAACAGTGCCTAGCACACACAATTACAAAAACAAAACAAAACAAAAACACAAAGTGCTCAGTAAAGTCCTGCTAAGCAAATGACTCATCCACATTTCCCAGCCATGGAGGAGTAGAGATGACACGCCCATCAGGCCATTCCACTCACTGGGAAACCCCCATGACTTGCACCTTTGCCTGAGGTTGGATGCAGAACCCTGTGGGCAGGAAGATAGACCGATGCTGTTGAGTGAATGATGATTAACTGAGTTCCATGTTTATGCATTTACAACACAGCAGGCTCTAAGTTAAGCATCTCTCATTTACTTCTCAGGACAGTCCTACAATACAGGTACTTTGATCATCCCCAGAGTGCCTAGGAGACAGGCTCACCAGTGAGGAGTGATGCAGCCCAGGACTCACAGTGGTGAGTAATATTCAAAATGCAAGCTGTTGCCTGCATATGGTCTGTGTGTGTCTCCATGACCGTGTTGTATATGGCAGCTGCTGTGGGGTAGAAACCCCCTAGTGGTTTTGGTGTCCTGAGAGCTGAGTTTAATATTCTACATCACTGCTGTGATACAGAGTCTGATTCCATTTTTAATGGTTGGCCCCTGACCCCTTTCAAGCCCCCACCCTCACCTGTCCTGGTAAGAAAGTCCAGCATCGCCTCCCTCAGCACTGTAGGGAGTTGAGCCATGCAAGCCAGGACTTGTGCACTGGAGCCCACCCCAGCCTGCCTCCCATTAGCAATCAGAGGCAAGGCTGCCCTCCCTCTATCCCCCACCCTCTATCCCCCACCCTCTATCCCCCTCCCTCTATCCCCTCCCTCTATCCCCTCCCTCTATCCCCCACCCTCTATCCCCCTCCCTCTATCCCCCACCCTCTATCCCCCACCCTCTATCCCCCACCCTCTATCCCCCCTCCCTCTATCCCCCACCCTCTGTCCCCCCCTCTATCCCCCACCCTCTATCCCCCACGCTCTATCCCCCTACCTCTATCACCCACCCTCTATCCCCCTCCCTCTATCCCCTCCCTCTATCCCCCTCCCTTTATCCCCCACCCTCTATCCCCCCTCCATCCCCCACCCTCTATCCCCCTCCCTCTATCCCCTACCCTCTATCCCCAACGCTCTATCCCCCTACCTCTATCCCCCTCCCTCTATCCCCCACCCTCTATCCCCCACCCTCTATCCCCACCCTCTATCCCCTCCATCCCCCACCCTCTATCCCCCTCCCTCTATCCCCCACCCTCTATCCCCCCTCCCTCTGTCCCCCCCTCTATCCCCTCCCTCTATCCCCCACCTTCTATCCCCCACCCTCTATCCCCCACCCTCTATCCCCCCACCCTCTATCTGCCACCCTCTATCCCCCTCCCTCTATCCTCCACCCTCTATCCTCCATGCTCTATCCCCCACCCTCTATCCCCCTCCCTCTATCCCCCACCCTCTATCCCCCTCCCTCTATCCCCCACCCTCTATCCCCCACCCTCTATCCCCCTCCCTCTATCCCCCACCCTCTATCCCCCTCCCTCTATCCCCCCACCCTCTATCCCCTCCCTCTATCCCCCACCCTCTATCCCCCTCCCTCTATCCCCCACCCTCTATCCCCCACCCTCTATCCCCCTTCCCTCTATCCCCCACCCTCTGTCCCCCCCTCTATCCCCCACCCTCTATCCCCCACACTCTATCCCCCTACCTCTATCCCCCACCCTCTATCCCCCTCCCTCTATCCCCTCCCTCTATCCCCCTCCCTCTATCCCCCACCCTCTATCCCCCTCCCTCTATCCCCTCCCTCTATCCCCCACCCTTTATCCCCTCCCTCTATCCCCCTCCATCCCCCACCCTCTATCCCCCTCCCTCTATCCCCCACCCTCTATCCCCCACCCTCTATCCCCCACCCTCTGTCCCCCCCTCTATCCCCCACCCTCTATCCCCCATGCTCTATCCCCCTACCTCTATCCCCCACCCTCTATCCCCCTCCCTCTATCCCCTCCCTCTATCCCCCACCCTTTATCCCCTCCCTCTATCCCCCTCCATCCCCCACCCTCTATCCCCCACCCTCTATCCCCCCTCCATCCCCCACCCTCTATCCCCCTCCCTCTATCCCCCTCCCTCTATCCCCTACCCTCTATCCCCAACGCTCTATCCCCCTACCTCTATCCCCCTCCCTCTATCCCCCACCCTCTATCCCCCTCCCTCTGTCCCCCCCTCTATCCCCTCCCTCTATCCCCCACCCTCTATCCCCCATGCTCTATCCCACACCCTCTATCCCCCCACCCTCTATCTGCCACCCTCTATCCCCCTCCCTCTATCCTCCACCCTCTATCCTCCATGCTCTATCCCCCACCCTCTATCCCCCTCCCTCTATCCCCCACCCTCTATCCCCCTCCCTCTATCCCCCACCCTCTATCCCCCTCCCTCTATCCCCCCACCCTCTATCCCCCTCCCTCTATCCCCCACCCTCTATCCTCCTCCCTCTATCCCCCTCCCTCTATCCCCCACCCTTTATCCCCCATGCTCTATCCCCCTACCTCTATCCCCCACCATCTATCCCCCTCCCTCTATCCCCCACCCTCTATCCCCCTCCACCCCCCACCCTCTATTCCCCTCCCTCTATCCCCCACCCTCTATCCCCCACCCTCTGCTCCACTCAAGCCATGGGCTCCATTGGTACTAGGAACAATCCTGCTGTCCCCAAAAGTCCCAGTTGTGACTAATAAACTGTTACATACATTTTATGTGCATTTTTGGATCAACAATCTCAACACTGGTCTCAGCATCCTAACCAATGTGTGGAGGGACTGGGGACAGGTAGGTCTTCCCTCCACCAGAAAACCACAAGTCAACTACTTAATATCTGAGTTACCTTGCAACGAGTGTCTCTAACCACACCTTACTTTCCTGGATCGTAAAATGGTGAGAATGAAATTCCCTACCACAGAAGCTCACAGGGAAAAACCCTCTTTGAAGCATTGCATATAGGGTATGTACTAGTGATGCTAATAGTGACGGCAGAGAAGAAACTCATATTTAGAATTTTATTTTTTTACTCCATGAAGCCATGGGAAACAGATGAGAACAATTTGGGCTCTTGCTAAATGAGGATGAAAAAGAACTAACTGTCCTGACATGTCACCATGGCTATGGTTATTTAGGTCCAGTCCTCACTGAAGGACTGATGAGTTATGCTGAACCTCCTTGAGGGCAGACAATCTACATAAATTACCTGGAATTATTCTACACAAGAGACTTGTTTCTTCTCTTCTATTGATTGATTTAAGCATTTATGTCAAGATGTCTCATGAATATTTTCTTTGTACTTTGGGTTACCCAAAAGTATTTTATTTATTTTGTTGCATGAATTTGTCTAGCACTGGCTGCTGAGAACGCTTTCAGTTTGTACCTTTGCATACCCCCAACAATGATTTTTTTTTTCTTTTGAGCACTTCCTTACGTTCTGGCACAACAAGATGCTCCAGCCTCATTTTACATATTCTCTGTCTCAGTCCTAGAATCAGTCATTTTCCCAGGAAACTGTGGTTCTTTTCATGGGAGAATGGTATTAAAAATCAACATCTGGATTCTGGGTAGGCTTGCTTCTAAATAGGTAGACCTTCTTTTCCTATAATGGAGTTACATCACACACGCATTGCATCAATTATGTGTGTGTGTGTGTGTTTGAAAAAGAGAGAGAGAGATCAGACAGTGCTGTGTATTGCTCTACTAAAGTAGCTCATGTGAGATGTACAGCAAATGCTTCCTCAACTTGTCAAGCCATTATAAAATAACTTATATATTAGTTTTCTATACTGTCTAAGATCTTACCGTAAATTTGGAGGCTTACAATTTATGAGCTCGTGGTTCTGGGGGCCAGAAGTCCAGGCAGACATGACGAGGTTCTCTGTTCAGTCTCACAAGGCCGACATCTAGGTATTGACCTGATGGGGCTCTTTTAATCTTTTTTTTTTTATTTTAAGTTTTCTCAGTCATCTCTGTGTCTCTCTCTGGTAATGGTCCAGGACTTATGTCTATGTATTATGTGACAGCTTAGACAGTGCTGAGGATTCAGTCTTTGCCCTGATGAGAAAGCATATACCTCCTGGGCTTTCTTGCAGTCATTTCTTGCCCATTTTTCTTATGAAAAATATTTGGCTGCTCCAGTCACTGCACTTGATGAGATTAAAGTCTGTAGCTGTCTCAGGCGCAACTAGCTAAAAACACATCATGACATCTTTCTCCAAAGCCATTTTTAGAACAAATTATTGAAGCCTTGGCACCCCTCCATGACATTCCCTGGGAAAGACAGCAGGACTCTGTTTCTGTCCTGGGACATACCAGGTAAAGGCTCAGGATTGTTGAGGGAAGATAGAAGGCTGAAAGCGGGACCCTTCTCAGCGACACACACTCCCATATTTCCGTGTCTTATTTCCCTTTTAACTGCCCTTCCTTTGTGAAGCAATAAAGACCCCCTGGTCTTAATGGAATGAGAGAAGGATAACCTTATGGGCTTTAGTGCCACAAAATGCATTAGTTGTCATGTCAAAATGAAATCCCCTATAATGAGCAGAGAGAAACCCAGAAGTGAATATTGATGTGATGTATAGGCAAGGAAGGCTTCTGTATCATACAAGCTAAAGAATAAACCATAAAAAATAACTTAGCTACAAAACAGTTTAAAATATCTGTTTATCACATTAGACCAAAATCAAAACTAAAATTTAAATGACATGTTGGGAAAACTATTTTCAAACTTTTTAACAAAGAACGAGTATGCTTAAGACAGGGAATCTATAAATTAATCAAGGTAAAAGCAAATGCATCAAATAAATAGATAAAGGACATTAACAGGCAAGTCAAAATGGAAAAAGTAAGGCAGTAAATATTTGAGAAAAAATACTTAGTTTCATTAGTACTATAATGAATATAAAATAGGAAAGAAGAATAGTTATTGTTCTGTTGATCAAATTAGAAAGTGGCTTTTAATCCAACTCTCCTTGCTTCAGGTTGTGTTGAATTGGGCACTTTATGAGTAGTACTGTATATGAATATCACCTTTCTTAAGGACACATTGGGAATTAGAATTGAAAGGCTTGTAAGTGAATATGCCGTCTGACTCAGCAACTTCAGTGTTGGACACTTACTTGAAGCAAATTATCAGAGCCCCACAACAAGGATAGAGGCTACCAGGGAGACAGTGAGTTCCCATTTCAGAAAATGTGCAAGCATGAGGGGCGATTGATGAGGCTATTGATGATACCGGGAGAGGGTTGGGTTAGATTAATCAATAGTAAGGTCATTCCAAGTTTTAAATTTTATGACAACCACTCTGTTGTCAGAACAAAGTGTTTGGAGGACCATAAAGATATTGAAAGCCTTAAATTATTATTATAGTTAAAATAGCAGCACAATTGCTATGTGCCAGGCATTGTTTGAAGCACTTCACAGGTATTTGCTTATGTAAGTTTTATGGCATGATGAGAGGTGGGTATTATCATCCTTATTTTATAGATAAGCAAAGTAAGGTACAGAGAAATAAAGTCACATTCTTCAGGCCATGCAGGAAATAAATAGAAGAGCCAAGGTGTCAGCCCAGACCGTTGCTCTGCACACACACAATCTTAGGTCTTATGCCAGCCTACCTCCTATTTCTTAGTTCTGCTGTAATTCAAGGTCTGAATAATTGTTTTTTCTTCAAAATAGGATCTAGAAAGTCACCAGGTCTGTACGACACTTTACAGTGTATAAAACACTTTCACCCAGAGTTATCTTATTTGATGCTTTCAATAAGACAGTGGAGTTGTCCCAGGATAAGAATGTCTCCATACTAGGGGAAAATGAAGTTCCAAGGAGTTGTGGTTTGTCTTTCTTCAGTTCACAGTGAGGTAGAGGAGATGGTCTCTTGTTAAAACCTTCCATGTCACTCAGTGGCATACAGGGTGATCAATACATTTGCTTTATTCGCTTTGAGGCTGGTGCTTCCAACAAGGGAACTGTAGTGCATTCAAAGCCTGGACCTGGACCTACATGAGCTGTTTATCCATGGGGCTTTTAAAACTGCACCTGCAATACTTCTCAGCCACAAAGGGAAAGAAATATTTGTGTTTGCTTCTCATCCACACAAACCCTCCACTGTCCTTCTCCATTTCTGGAAAGTAAGGTTCTGCATGCTTGCTTCAGCTGTCTATTGTAATGGAACAAACCACCTCTAAACATAGTAACATGAAAGAACAACCATTTTAGTTCCTCATGATTCTTTGGATGAGAATTTGCTCAGGGGAGAGGGGATATGGATCATCTCTGAGCCACAATAATGGGAGCCGTGGCTGCAATCATACAAAGGACTGGGATGACTCAGCTGGTTTCATGTCTGGGGTCTCAATTTGCCCTGTCCACTGGGTTCCTCAGTTGTCCACCACATGGCCTCCCCACTGGGCTGGCTTAGGCTTCCTCCCTGCATGGCGGCCTCAGTGTGAGTTGACTTCTTACCTAGTAGCTGACTTCTCCTCCAGAGGAATCAGAAGCTGCAGGTATCAGAAAAGCTGGCTTGGAGCTGGTACAGTCTCCCTCCTATCATATTGTACAGTCATGGCACGTTCCAGGCCAGCCAGACTCTAGGAAAGAGAAAGACACTGTTTATAAGTGGAAGAAATGTCATGAATATCAAAGCCTTGAAAAATAGATTTTTCATTAAACTTTTATATGTGCATGTAACAGACATTTAAAAAAACTGCAAAATGTAAACAGCTCAAATTATTTTTTCTCTCTTATTCCATTACTTTATGTCCTTCTAAATAGCAACTATATCTACAAACCTACATATATTTAGATTTTTCCTCTTTCACACAAATTGGAACCTATCATATCTGCTCTTCCACACTTTCCTTTTCTTCTATTACCATAGTGTTTCAGAATGCACACACATGCAACTACTCATACTGATGCAGGTGACCCTTGACCAATGTAGGGGTCAGAAGCACCAACTCCCCACATGGCAGTAAATCCGCACATAATTTTCAACTCTTTCAAAACCTAACTACCAACAGCCTTCTGTTGACCAAAAGCCTTACTGATAACATCAACAGTTGATTAACACATAAATAGACTGGTATCTATGTATATTTTATGCATTCATGACGTACCTAACTTTTTCTTATTTTGTTTTGCTATTTATTGGTGACGTGGTTTCTGAGTTTTTCCAGATTGCTGAAAATCTCCAGATCATTTTGTAATATGTTTATGGAAAAAAACTCACTTGTAAGTGGACCTGCACAGTGCATAGCTGTGTGTTGTTTTAAGGTCACCTGTCTATGTAAATATAATTTTATAACATACAAATACACATACATATATAAATGTATGTACCCATAAATACACACATATATAAATATATCTGCTTATGTAAACACATTGTTAGGACACACAAAAAAAGGAAACAATTGTTTGGGCGAGGAACTAGGGAGCCGAATGACAGGAATGGTAGAACAATGTTCATTGTAAATCCTTTTCAACATTTTAACTTTGAGCCTTGTGATATATTAATACATATATTTTCATATTTATCAGCATTTTAAGTATAAAATATAGCTCAGAAACATTTTCTGGTAAGCTTTTGGAAGTGGCTTTTTAACTGCTGAAAAATATGTCATTTAATGGGCACACCATTGTTGACCTAACCGTGTCCTCACATCCTTAGCAGCAACATTAAAATTTTTTTATGACCGAATGTGTCTTATGGACCAACTACTAAGTCACTAAATATAATTTAGAGGAAGAAATCTATTTGTATACATTATTGATATAAGTATGTATTTGTTTGTGTATGAATAATGTAGCTCCTGGCCAACATTATCAAACATTTCTAACGTCAAATCAGTGTTTATGGACCTGTCTGGTGATACAGTGTAATGGCAATGACAGAAGAGCAGGATCATTTTTCAATATAATCCCAGGTCTCTTTGAAAATTGAAAACACTTTTTCAATTAAAGAGTTGTCAGCAGGCCTTGTGGCTTGGCTGGAATGAAAGTGCTCTGTTGTAAATTTATTTTAAACTCCTGCTGAAAGCATATGAACTGAGATAATTAAATAAAATAGGCTAACAGGAAACTGTAATCCCAAACAAGGCAGTGGGATGCAGGCACAAGACCACCTGATGTGCCTGAGGCTCCCCTCTCTATTTAGGCACAGACAGGTGGAAGAGAATTAGAATTCAGCACCCAGAAAAGAACCCTTGGGAAGTGCTTTATCTTGTTTTGTTTCTTCTGTTGTCCAGTAAGTAGATATCTGCTGTTTATGGCTTCCTTTCCTTTCCTCTTCTGATGATACCACCATAATGTTCTACTAAGAATGTCTTTCCTCCTCTAAGCAGTGTCTGTAAATAGTGGGTGATTCTTCCCCACCTCCCTGCTTTAGGAGTGAGCCTGTGACAGACCTGACCAGTCAGTAAATTCTCTCCTGCTAAGACCAATTAGGTCAGAGATGGGAACATGCCCTAAGTTTACCCAATGAGGCTCAGCAGGAGCCTTCTATTGGGATTGTTGGGAAGAATGTGGCACCTCTCTATTGGGGTGATGGAGCTGTGTCAGTGTAGATGTGGAGCTCCTAAACATCACCAATGGAGAGGGTTTGCTTGAGAATGAAGCCCATACAAGGAAAGACACACTGAGAGAGGAGACAAGCTCACTGATAATCTAATCGAGGAACCAAGGGGTGCACTAACCCTGGTCTTCCCAGTGACAACTGATTCATTCTGATTAATTCATTAATCAACTGTGAGCTGATTAATAGTTGATTAATTACCACTTTTTGCTGAAGGCATTCGAGTGGCGTTCCTGCTATTTTTAACAAGAATCCTTTTGGATTCAGTACACACAACTGTGAGCCCTCATCTCCTCTGTGTACCCCTAGGTACAGAACAGAGGGAAAGGAGGCAGTGGGGCTGAGCCCCATCCCTGTGTGTACTCTTTTTGCCTTACTGCAGATAGCACTGCCTCCTTCTGGTCTGTGGCTTTTGTCTCTGGTAGACAGAATCTTTGGTCCCCAACAGTATCTACGTCCTAATCCATGGGACCTGTCTCCTGGCACAAGAGACTTTGCAGGTGTGCTGGAGGTAAGGATTTCGAGATGGGGAAATTATTATGGATTATCCAAGCAAGTACTAAATATAATCAAAAGAAGGAGACGGGAGTATGAGAACAAGACAAATATGTGACAGTGGGTGCAGAGGTGAAAGGAAGGGATAGGGAGAAAGAGGAAGAGAGGGAGACATTTGACTCTTTTGGCCTTGAAGATGGAGGACTCTACTCCGAGCCAAGGAGTGCAGGCAGCCTCTAGAAGTCGGAAGAGGCAGGAAAAGGATTTCTCTCCTAGAGCCCTGGTGGGGATGCTGTCTTGCTGACACCTTCATTTTGAGAATTCTGACCTCCAGCATGATAGAGCAATAAATGTGTTTTAAGCCACTGTGGTTGTGGTCATTTGTATAGCAGTGATAAGAAACTAATATCATCTCCTAATCATTCTTTCTGGGCCATCTGTGTCTCCCTTTAAATTACTCTCCTCTCTGCCACAAAATCCTTTCTAAGACAGAGCTCAGATCATGTCACACCCAGCTCAAGGTTCCCCCAATGCATATGGAATAAGATTGGACCTACTGGCGTGGCATTTCATGATCTTCACCATCAGTTCCAACTCAGCTTCCCCCTCTTGCCTTCCTTCAGTCTCTCCCATATACTGTGTCTCTGAAAGCTGCAGCATCTCACTATTTCCTGAGCAACCCTCATCATTGTTTCCATGATTGTTTCCTCCAGTCTGTGCATCTATTCTCTCTCCTTGCATCTCCAAATCTGTGTCTCTTTCAGAGCCTGACTTGCATGGCACTGCATGCATGAATCTTTTCCCAATATTCCTCTCTAGTGAAAAAAATGTTTTCCAATAATTTTGTGTCTCTCTTGCCATTCTTTTTGACTTTTATCTTCTATTGCTGTAATGTATATATGTCACCTTTCTTTCCTGTTACATGGGAGCAGGGTCTTTTTTATTATTTCTCAGAATGCCTAGCAAATACTGTGCTAAATATGTGTTTCTGGAATCTGTTTGTTCATCAGAGTTTTGTAAGGCATTGAAATATAGGTCAAATGCCCCCATGAGCCAGGAAGGTGACACACAACAATGAGTGAAGTGAGCTTGTGTGAGACAATACTGAGTGGCGACTACTGGTTAACTGGAAAGCCAGGGTCCCTTTCCAAGAGGAGCAGCTGCTCCTCTGCTCTATTAGAGACACATGACACTTTTGGTACATTTTCTAACTGTTCAGTGAAAGCCTAGCATCCATAATTCTAAGTAAAATGTTCTCCTGGCTGAGCAGCCTAGCTGGTGGAATGCTCTGTGTGACTTATTCCCCTGTGGAGATCCACGGATGCGTGGATTCATTAATAAATGGGAGCTTGGCTGGCCTTTTAAAACTACATCTCTCAGTTTGGACAGCACAGCCCTTCCAGGTGGCACCTTGAGATTTGTATTTGCAGGCAACTTGGAATGACTCATCTTGAAATGACCTCAGATGTCATTTATCACAGCCAGAAGCTTAAATATATACCTAATTGCACTGATGGTGATTATGATTCCTGGATAAAATATTTGGATGTCCTTAAAAACAAAAAACAAAATAAAAAACAAACGCTTTTTTTTTTTTACTGTTCTTTATTTGGGACACAATTTTGGAAAAAGCATGGAAGGTTCCTGTAGATGAGAGGGGCAATGTGGGTGGGCGAATTTGCAGGCTCAAAACCCATTCTTCTGTCATCAGAATATTATCAGAACTTGACCATCATCCAAGTACAGAAACTACCAGGAGAAGATCACAGGGATCAACTCACGATTATCCACCACCTATAAAATTCAAGACACTCTGTTTTCATATATTTGCTCTTATTTAATGGGTGTGCAAAGGAGCCCATTATTTTCTGTCAGTTTGAAATTGGGCTCGTGCAGACCTTCAGTTCTGATTTTAACAGGATGATCTTTGTGGAAGAAAGGAGTCTAAATGACACTGAGCCAAGCCGTGGGTCAATTGTGTGTGTGTGTCTCCACGCATTCACACACTGGCAGAAAGAAAGAAGTAGAAAATAGAAGCCTACAATGATAAACATTGTTTTCTCCACTGGTGAAACTCTATATCCACTTTTAATCTCACTCTGTTTAACTAAACAATGTTAATATTTTAAAATTTTATTTGGGAGCAATTCTGTGAACCAAAATCTAGATAAAAATGCAGAATGTCCCAAATCAAAAGAACTAGAATGTACCATAGAAGTGGAAACTGGTTTGAGTTAGTGAGACATTGTTCTTTTCTTTTAACTAAAATGGTTGGAAGGGAAAATCGTGCAGTAGATGAAGGTGTAGTCTTCCAAATGAGACAATCCTGGTTTTGCTTTTGACCTTGAATAAGTAGTTGGTATATTTTAGCTTCCATTTCTTTATCTATAAAATGGGATAACAATACTAATACATAAAGTATAGGGTGATTCTGAAGATTAAGTGACATAAAGTTTTCAAAATAGGTGCTCAAAATGTAGGTATTATCTTAAGACATATTGCAATATTACCATAATGCATTGTGGAACAAAGTGAAAACAAGACATATTTTGGAAAAACATTGCTTTGTTTCTTTCTGTATGCAAAAACAATCATAAATCACTCACTGATTTATTTTGAGTTAAAGTAACTTTGATTTGGACATGTGAATGATGCAAGCTATGCAGACAAATGGAGCAAAAACTCAAGAAAGTATGTGGATTGTTTTTTCTTGCTTTCTTTTTATTTTCTTTGTTTCCTAATCTTTGCCTCACTTGTTCTTAGAGTGAGAGCTGAGTTGTCAAAAGAAAGACAACAAAATTTCTAGAAGTCTAAATGTCTCCAGGCATTGTTCTGTAATAACAGCCATTGCTAAAAGTGGAGGTCTCCTGCAGTAGCAATGTGGGCAGGTCTCATCAGAGAAGCCTTGCTAGGGTTTCAAACACAAAGCAGCCCTGCTGCCAGGCGAAACCCCAGGCTGAGAGCAAGAGCAGAAGCCAGGTCTCGGCAGCATTGTTTTGTTTTAGTTGTTGGTCTTTTTAATTTTTTTTCTTTTTTACCTTTCTAATTGGGAAAATACTTTGGATTAATAAAAATATTCAAAAAGAAATCATGTACAAAAATCCTAACTGTACACTTTTGCCCAGATTAATATTTTGCTTGGTTTGATTCCTATGTCTCCTTCCTGTCCTCTTCCTTCCCTCCCTTTCCCCCAGTTTCCCTGTAAGGACAGTATTCATTTGAAATGCAATTAGGTTCATTTGTTTTAGCCTGCTTGAAATGTTGTTTTTCCCTTCATCATTCCTATAGATTTAATTTTACTTTTGAATACATATAACATTAACTTTAACTTTTGAAGATGTATGATGTTCCTTCTACCTCCTTCTCCCCACTTCTCATAGTTAATCAGCTCGTTTTCTGGGTTATTCTTTCTCGTGATGGTTAATTTTTTGCGTCAACTTGACTGCGCTAAGGGATTGCCAGATAGCTGGTAAAACGTTATGCTGGGTACATGTGTGAAGATATTTCCAGAAGAAATTTGCATTTGAATAGCAGACTAAGAAAAGTTGCCCTCATCAATGGGGGTGATACTACACAATCCACTGAGGGCACAGATAGAACAAAAAGGTGGAGAAGGCATGAATTCAGTCTTCTTGAGTTGGAAGATCTTTATTCTATTCTTGGACATTGGAACTCCTAGTATTGGCCCTTCGGACTCAGACCAGAGTCTCTCATCAGCGGATATGTGTCGCACCTGCACCCCAGCCTCCTTCTGCCTCCCAGCCCTTTGGCTTAGATTGAAAGTTACACTATCTTCTCCCCTAGTTCCCAGGCCTTCAGCCTCACTCAGACTTAACTACCCCTCTGGCTTCCCTGGTTCTCCAGCTTTCAGACGCATATTATGGGACTTAACCTCCAAAACTGCATGAGCCAATTCCCATAATAAATCTCCTCTTAAATATCCAGATATAGGCTGGGCGCCGTGGCTTACACCTGTAATCCCAGCATTTCGGGAGGCCAAGGCGGGTGGATCACCTGAGGTCTGGAGTTCGAGACCAGCCTGACCAACATGGAGAAACCCCATCTCTACTAAAATACAAAATTAGCCTGGTGTGGTGGCGCATACCTGTAATCCCAGCTACTTGGGAGGCTGAGGCAGGAGAATCACTTGAACCCAGGAGGTGGAGGTGGAGGTGGAGGTGGAGATGGAGGTGAGCCAAGATCATGCCATTGCACTCCATCTTGGACAACAAGAGTGTAACTCCGTCTCAAAAAAAATATATATATATACATATATCCAGGTATGTTCTGTTGATTCTGCTTCTCTGGAGAGCCCTAATACATTTCTGTAATTATTTCAGTAAATATATGCAGATATATGCGTATTCTCCTATTTTTTTCTTTTATCTTACATAAAATGTAGCATGCTACATATGTTCTTTTTATTATTTTTTAAATGTGGTACAATGCATAACAAAAGGTATCATTTTAATTATTTTTAAGTATACAGTTCTGTGGCATTAACTACATTCACATTGTTTGCAACCATCGCCACCATCCATTTTCAGAACCTTTTCATCATTCCAAATTGAAACGCTGTACTCATTAAACAATAGCGCCCCATCCCTCCCTTCTCCCCAGCCCCTGACAAACACCATTCTATGTTCTGTCTCCAAGAATTTGCTTATTCTAGGTACCTCATATGCGCGTAATCATACAATATGTGTCCTTTTGTGTCTGGCTTATGTCAATTACCATAATGTCCTTAAGCTACCGCCATGTTGCGGCATCTGTCATAATGCTGTTTCCTTTTAAAGCTGAATAATTTATAACCTCTTTTGCACTTACCTTTTAAATTTTTTTAAAATAACATCTCCTGGAGAGCATTCTATATCAGTTCATTAAAAAATAAAAAGTCTGCATGTTTTTTACAGCCGCAGAATACCCAACTGCAGTAGATAGCCCAGTTTATTCAACTGCTCTCCCATACTTGAATATTTAGGCAGTTTCTAATATCTTGCAATCACAAATCATGCTGCAATGCATAATCTGTGCAGATGTATTTTTTGTACGATTAGATGCATGTCTTTAGGATGAATTCCTAGAAGTGGCATTTCTAGGCCAAAACATAAATTCATACGTAGTTCTACTAGATATTGCCAATCACTCTTTCTCTGGAGTTAAGTAGTTTACATTCTTGATACCAGTGTTGGAGAGTTTTTTTTTTTTTTTTCCCTCCTGACAGCCTTGTCAAAAGAGTCTATTGTCAAGCTTTTGGCTTTTTGTCAATCTGATGGGTAGACTATATCTCAGAATAATTTTTATTTTAATTTTTCCTAGTATGTGTGAAGTTAAACACTTTACATATATTTAAGAGATATTTTTATAACTTTTTGAGTTGTCCAGTCATCATTTTTGCGAAATTTTCTGTAGCATTTTACATTTTTTTCTCATTATTTAAGATGTCTTTATGATTCTGGAGTTTGTAATATATATCATCAATATTTTTTCCTGTTTATTATTTGTCTTTTTATGTTCCTCATAATGGATTATTTTTGCCATGAAAGTAAAATATATATATATAGAGAGAGAGTCAAGTTTTTAATTTTTCAGTTACATGTGGAACTTGGTCATAGTTGAAAAAATTTTACCTAGACCCAGATGATATAGGAATTCACCCTTTTTTTCTTTCCATTTCAGTCTAATCCATTTGGAGGATCATCTAGTGCATGGTGTAAGGAATGCATAAAATTATAACTCTTTGAACAAATAACTATAATTTATTCCAACACCATTTATTAAAAAGTCTCTATTTTGCCCCCTTGAATTGAATACTGTGGTAACCATATACTAGATGTTTATATGCAGTTATGGCTATTTTGAGACTCCCTGTCCTGTCCCATTGATCAGGTTGTTTCTGCACCAGATCCTCACTGCCCCCTTTGATTTAGTACCTGGCATGACTAGTTCCCTTCCAGACTTGCATTTCGGACTTTCCTGGTTATTCTGGTTTATTTCTTTTGCTATATAAATTTTAATATCAGCTTGTATAGCTCCAAGAAAATGTTCATTACAATTTTTATTGAGGTGGCATTAAAGTTATACATTAAGTCAGAGAGAATTGAAATATCAGTGATGTAAAGATGCCCTATCTAGAACAAGGAAGAACATAGCTATTCAAACCTCCTCTTATCTTCAGGAGAGTTTTATACTTTTCTGCTTGTTGGCTTCAAACATTTCTGGTGTATTTATCCTTAAATGTATTGTTTGTTTCTTGTTGCCGTAATAAATGAGATCCATGGATTCATTTTATCTTCTAACTGGTGAATATTTGTGTCTACAAATGCTATTGATTTTTGTATGTTAATGTTGTACATTGCTGTCTTGCTGAAATCCTGTAGTGTTTTTGTTAGTTTTATCATTGATCCTCTAGATGTATGATCAGGTTCTCTGCTTATGGAGTTTTATATCTTCATCTCAGTCTTTATGTCCAAATTGTTTCCTTTTGTCTAATTGCCCTAACTAGTTCCTCAAGAACATTGTGAAATAATAGTGAAATTTGTTCATATTCTTGCTTTGTTAATGATCTTGGTGGAGGTCCTTCTAGGGTCCCCTCATTATGTAAACTATTGGCTTTTAATATTAAAGTCTATGGCTGGGCGCGGTGGCTCATGTTTGTAATCACAGCACTTCGGTAGGCCAAGGCAGGTGGATCACGAGGTCAGGAGTTCAAGACCAGCCAGGCCAACATGGTGAAACCCTGTCTCTACTAAAAATAAAAAAATTAGTCAGGTGTGGTGGTGCGCACCTGTAGTCCCAGCTACTTGGGAGGCTGAGGCAGGAGAATCGCTTGAACCCGGGAGGCAGAGATTGCAGTGAGCCAAGATCACACCACTGCACTCCAGCCTGCATGACAGAGCGAGACTCTGTCTCAAAAAAAAAAAAAAATTAAAGTCTATACCCACCATTTTTATTTTCTCAACATTTTTTTGGTCAATGATGTGTGTTTTTCAGCATTTATTAAGATAACCATTCTCTCTTTCTTCTCTTCCCACACCCACCCTTCCATCAGCCTGTCCGTCAGTTTCACACCTTCCAGGGGTTGAATAAGAGAGAAAAGAGGGAGGGGACAGTAAAGATCCTAGAGGCATCACTAACTTCCCAAGCTGGCTTTACTCTCTGGCCTTAGTAGAGGCTGCTGCTTTCTCTTATGGGTACTTTCACATATTTCTCAATGGTTCCCTGCTGGACCCCAGTGATAATTCCTCTGGTTCAGGAATAATTTGCTTTTACTGCCCCCAATTCCTTGCCTGCTTCTATTCATCCTGCCAACCACCCCACATAGATGCTCGCTCACAAAGGCTCCAGCTTGGTTTTCCATGCTGCATGTGTAGGGTGACATCCATTCCAGTTTTCCCAAAACTGTCTCAGGCAATTTCTGGTGTCTTGGCATAATTATTAATATTCTCCTGTTCACTTTCAAAAGTCTCCCTATTTGGGCAATAAGAGACCTAGCTTCCTTAGAACTGGGCACACCTGGAGTACAGGTACACATGGCCTTCTTAGTTTTGGGGCACTCTGAGCACCCAGGTCTCTCCTCACAGAGCAGCCCCCAGACAGCTCTGCCACCAGACAGGTAACGAGGCCTCCTTAAGACCTGCATATCTCTGGGGCAGGGATCATATCACAATCCATGGTGTCTTCCTGTTTCGAGCTCTTCAAGGGTCCATCAAGCAGTAAATAAAGCAAGTAGCATCTCCCCTTTCTCCCCACTTTAGGAACTACAGAGCTCATCGAGGAGTTGTTTGTTTTTTTCTTTACAATCTCCTCCATTTTTTTACAATGGCATCTGGATATTGGCCCCTAGGTTGTGTCCATCTTCACAGCAGCCTGGGACACATTAGCATTTAAAAGCATACCAGAGCCAGATTCAAATTTTTACGCATCCAACTGTTTCCAACATAGCTGGTATTTAACCATTTAGAACTGTCCTGCTTTGTATACGTTGCAAACTGCATCCAACATCTGCTAGTCATAGATAACGACAAACTTAGGAGCTCTAAAGCCCACCAGATGGCTCTTGCCCTTTGGAGGTCTCTGACCCAGAGACTCCCTACTGGGCTGCAGGACAACATCACCTGGACAGGTGAGTCTCACCTAACCCAGGAGTTCCCTTCTCCTCCTTTTTATCTGGGTGATGGGCCACACACCACAGCCTCTGGACCAGCTGGTGCTGTGAGGGACCTCCTCTGTCTGTAGCTATGCTAGAGTTCAGTGGATAACCACGGGTGCGCTCCTGCCACCTGGTGGTAATATCTCCTCTCTTTTGAAACCCATGATTTCCCCATCTGCTCCCTCCTCCTGACATTTTTTATGTTTTTAAAAAGGTTGAAGAGCATTAGGCATTATTGAACAAATTTTCAGACATTCCTTTGAAAATCTGCATTTTGGTCTGTTACTTTATTTTGAAAATCCTGATGTTTGGCCAAAACTTCCTGCTCCACCTGTGTTGAGCATCTTCTATAGAGCGTATTGCAACATCACAAGTGCATTTATTAGCTGGAATGAATACTTAATCCGTGGGTGAGGTGTTACCCTGGGATCTCATTTAATACTAACAACAAGGAAATCTATGAACATGTACTTAGGCTCTAAAAGTGTTAAAGGAAAATAAGTAAATCCTGAAAGCAGGCTGAGACTCCTGGGGATTTTTACCATCACTCATTGACAGCTAAAGATTTGATAGTGATGTGAAAGGAAGAATGGTTTGATTTTACAAATGTCTGCTTGTAGCTTTTCTGTTTTCTTTGTTGTATCTTGGTAACTTTCATCCCTCATGAGGCATAGTTATTACAGGGAACATCTTATGTATGCAACAAAACCCTTTGCACCATATACTTTAGAGTTATTCTAAGAGGTTTTCAAGGGCAATTTTACTACACGCCGTATTCCACTTGTATTCTGAATTTAGAAAACTTGTGTAAGGTACAAGAGTAGGAAACATGCCAGAAAAGAGAAAAAAGAAAGTAAAATGTTACACCTGTGCCCAGAAGACTTAAGTGCTGAGAGGGGAGCTGGGCTGTCATTGAAGTTTTGTTCTAATCCCAGTCTAAAATGACTCATTGTGGTTGGCACACATGAAGATGCCAGTGTACTGAGAGGTAAGGAGCAAAGGGGAAGATGGTGATACAAGATGAAAGAACAAGTCAGCTCATGCCCCGAGGCTGGTGTTTGAATTTTGTTCTAATCAAAAGGAGAAGGCTCTGGAGGGTTTCAAGCGGAGGAGAGATGATGCTTGATTTATTTTTCTAAGTGATCCCTCCAGCAACTCCACGGAGAATGTATTGTGGGACTTAAATATCAGTGATCAGATGGATGTATTGAAAACCATGGAAGGGCCAGGGGTAGTGGCTCACACCTGTAATTCCAGCACTTTGGGATGCCGAGGCAGGTGGATCATGGGGTCAGGAGATCCAGACCATTCTGGCTAACATGGTGAAACCCTGTCTCTGCTAAACATACAAAAACTAGCTGGGCTTGGGGGCAGGTGCCTGTAGTCCCAGTTACTTGGGAGGCTGAGGCAGGAGAATGGCGTGAACCCAGAAGGCAGAGCTTGCAGTGAGCTAAGATCACGCCACTGCACTCCAGCCTGGGTGACAGAGCGAGACGCCATTTCAAAAACAAAACAAAAAAAAAAAAAAACATGGAAGACAGTTGAGAGATGTGGACTCAAGTCAAGTCAAGATAAGGGTTTCTTTCTAAGCTTTGCCTTCCGTTCCCCTTCTTAACCTGTGGACAGCCAGGCACTGCCGTGATGAATGTGAATTTTAAGCACTAATGTTCTAATGAAATACATACACTAATCAGCACTGTAGAATTGAAGATCAGGTCTTCAGGTAGAAGTAATTGAAGGCTGCATTCAACCCCCAAGCTATCGATCTGACTGCCAGGCAAACTACACTATCAGATTGAAAGAAATATCCAGAAGCTAATTGCTGGAGTCGTGAATCTCTACACAGTTATTAGACTCACAATGAAACCTCATGAGAAAAAATATATTAATGTGGCTCCAAAAAAGTTGCCTGGTTTCTATTTACTTTTCATTGTTCAAATAAAAGACTGTCTCTGAAATGAAGAAACTGAAATAAATGTGTTGACTTAGCCCTGGCTGCCCATCTACTACACTATCACACACACAAATGCAACATGAGCATAAAAGGATCCTGGAAACAGCATAGAAAAAACTCAGCAATGCCAAAGTCTCAGTAACATACCCCAATCCCCAGAGATACCTCAGCATGGGAAAAGACACAGAAAAGAAGGCAATGTTTATTGTTAAGCAAGTGCTGCAATTGAGTCCCAGAAATTCAGACATTTCTCCAAACTTCCTGGAAATTCCTGCTATAAACAGTTCTTTTAGGATAGCAGGCCTGCAATCTCAGTTTCCTACTCTCAGAACTTTTCCTTCCAGTATGTTCTTGTTTCATTTACTCATGCAGCAGCGTAGACAGAATTTTTCCCCCTTTGAACTTGAGCCCCTTGGACCATGCCTTTCAGAGAGCAAAGCCTGTATCTCCTATTCACAGCATGCTATTTTAATGTGTCTGGCATTTCACATTACGGCGTCTTGTTAATGTTTTTCTGGATGTGTTCTTCTAGGTGTGGCTGTCACCTGCTAAATAGTTTGAAAGCTATTAGCAGAAAGAAAGAATATGCAATTCTAACAGGTGCACAAGTGGTGAGCCTGGGGTTTAAATGTATTAGAGTTAGAATCTCATGCTGTTCGTGAAGCACATTTGCGCTTTCTCAGGCAATGTATATTGGTGGCTGGCTGGCAAATTGGAAGTTGGATAAGGGTATTTAGAACAAAACATGTGATAGTTAAGCTGTCTCTGAAATTCAACCTGTGAAAATATCCACTGGGGGCCATTAGAATTTCTAAATTGGGAAAATGTGGCAGTGTAATTGCATGGAAGCTTTGAATTAGGTGAATTCTGAGACGATCCCAAAGGTAAAAGTGCTGCTACAGTGATGATCAGGAGACTCAAAACAGTGTTTTCTCCCTAAGCAAAAATCCTGTTATTGGGACCGAGGGGTATATCAAAATATTAAAAAATTCATTTAGATATGTTAACATAGATATTAAAAAAAATTCATTTAGACATGTTAACATAGATATGAGTTGTATTTGCTTACTATGTAGATAGATAAGATTCTTTCCATAGGTTTGCTAAGATCACTCAGTAATAAAGAATTATCTGATTTTATAAAATGTATAGTTTTCATACAATATTATCTCATATTCTTCTTTAATTTAGTAGCATTTCAATTTCTTCAAAGACCTGAAATGCTAAGATTCTCCAACTCAGATTAAGAATATCTTGTTTCAGCCTGGTGTGGTGGCTCATGCTTGCAATCCCAGCACTCTGGGAGACTCAGGTGGGTGGATCGCTTGAGCTCAGGAGTTCAAGACTAGCCTGGATAACATGGCAAAACCTTGTCTCTACAAATAATACAAAAATTAGCTGGGCATGATGTTATGTGCCTGTAGTCTCCGCCACTCGGGAAGCTGAGGTGGGAGGATTGCTTGAGCCTGGGAAATCAAGGCTGCAGTGAGGCATGATCACAGCTCCTGCACTCCAGCCTGGGAGACCCTGTCTCAAAAAAATAAAGAAAGAAATAAAAAATCCCCATTTCATTGTGGATTTTCAGTAGAACCTTAAGAGTGAAATGGGCTAGGTGTGGTGGCTCACACCTGTAATCCCAGCATTTTGGGAGGCCGAGGCAGGCAGATCACCTGAGGTTGGGAGTTCGAGACCAGCCTGACCAACATGGAGAAACTCCATCTCTACTAAAAATACAAAATTAGCCGGGTGTGGTGGCGCGTGCCTGTAATCCCAGCTACTCGGGAGGCTGAGGCGGGAGAATCACTTGAACCCAGGAGGTGGAGGTTGCAGTGAGCCAAGATCGTGCCATTGCACTCCAGCCTGGGCAAAAAGAGCGAAACTCCATCTCAAAACAAATCAAAACAAAAATAGTGAAATGGTTTTCCTCACTCCCATTCCATCATCATCCTCCACTTTCCCTCCCCGCACTATAATTGTTTCCACCTTAAATAAGGAAAAAGACTTTCTAATATTAAGCTCCTTTCTCTGCAAAGAACCAACACTTCAGAGTGATGCACTATACACCCCCATCTCAATTTCTTGTCAAAATAATTCAATCACTGCTGCTGATTTTTTTTTCTATTTTGTTGATGATCCAAGGCCTAGAGGAATCAGGACCTGGCTCAAGGTCATTTTTATGGGTTGAATTGTCTCCCCAAAAAGACATGTTGAGGTCCTAACCTCTAGTATCTGTGACTATCACCTTATTTAGAAATAGGATGTTTACAGATGTCAAGTTAGGATGAGGTCATGAGGATGAGCCTTAATCCAATAAGACAGGTGTCCTTATAAAAAGGGGGAATTTGGATACAGAGACAGAGATAACACAGAGGGAAGACAATGTAAAGACACTGAGAGAAAACGGCCATATGCAGATGACAAAGGCAGGATGACAGCGATGAACCACAAGTGAAGGCTCCTGGAGCTACCCTAAAGTGGGAGAGGTGAAGAGGAACCCTCCCCAGGGGAACCCTCCCTAGAGGAACCCTCCCTAGAGGCTTTGATGGAAGCATGACGACTGCCTACACTTCAATTTTGCACTTCCAGACTCTAGAACATCTGTAGTTTAAGCCACCAAGTTTGTGACTCTTGGTTATGGCAGGTCTAGGGAACTAGTACGGGCATAAAATCAGTAAGTGGTCGAGAAGTAAATAACACGTGGATTCATATAACCCCAAAGCCTGAGTCTCATCTGCTGAACAACTCTGCCTTTTTGTTGAACATGCTCCCATCAAGACTTGCTATATGCATTCACTGTGATGGTTAGATGTGGGGCCTTTAAAACAAGCCAAAATGTGATGTCTGTACTCCAGTGTCTTATAGGCAGGTTAGAAAGTGAATAGTAAATCCAGAATACTATAAAAGTTGAATACTATAAAATACTATTTTTGAATACTATAAAAGTTATATCAATGCCTATATAGAATTTTTGCAAGTATACTTTAAAATTCCTTTGAAATTTTCAGCAACTGGAGATCCTAAGTACATGCAAAGGGAAATCTTTTTTTTTTTTTTTTTTTTTTTTTTTTGGCGGTGGGGAGTGGGGGACAGGGTCTCACTCTGTCGCCTAGACTGGAGTGCTCACTGCAACCTCTGCCTCCAAGGTTCAAAGGATTCTTATGCCTCAGCCTCTAGAGTAGCTGGGATTATCAGCGTGCACCACCACGCCAAGCTAATTTTTGTTTTCTTAGTAGAGACGGGGTTTTGCCATGTTGGCCAAGCTGGTCTCAAACTCCTGACCTTAAGTGGTCCACCCAGCTTGGCCTCCCAAAGTGCTAGGATCACAGGAGTGAGCCACCACACTTGGCCTGGAAATCATTCTAAATATAGCTTTTCCTTAAACCAAGAACAATTTAAAAGTCCTAACTAAGTTTATCAGTACATTATCAATTCTTATCTCTCAGTAGATTTGGAAGTCACTGAAGCATTGAGTTTGCTGTAATACACAGTGATTATAAATTAGTACTGGTTAATAACTTGAAATTTGGTTGTTTATAATTGTATTTCCAATAAAACAAGTTGTAAAGAACATACCTTGCATATTATTTTAGAATACAGTGTTTACATAGTTCCTTCAAGGTATTTTCACACAGCTGTTTGATGTAGTATCCCAATAGCCACCTTAAGTGCCTGTGATCTAATAGGTGCTTAAGAAGTATTTGCTCCGTGAATTAATTCTGCTTCATCATCTTTTAGGGTGATTAAAATAATAAGGTAATACTCATAGATTTACCAAAGTGATTACAATTTCAAGTCCTCTTTATTTTTTTGATTAGGTCCATGTTTTCATCTTGTATTATTTTTTATTCTATTGAATTATCATTTATTGTAGTGAAGTCTTCCAGTAATAAATTCCTTCAGCTTTTGGCTTTTGTAAATCTAAAAACATCCTTTTGTATTAAAAAAATAAGTATATATGAGTGCACACAGAATTCTAACTTGGCTACTATTTTCTTTCTTTCATGTGAAAATGGTGTCTTTCTGTCTTCTCATTTGCATTGCTTTTGACAAGAAATATATTGCAACTCTTAGAGTTCTTCCTCTCTATATAACATTTATTTTTACTTTGTTTTTAAGATTTTTTTCTTTGTAAACTGTTTTGGACAATTTGGTTATAATATTTCTTTGTGTATTTTGTATGGTTCTTGGGCTTGGGTTTTATTAAGCTTCTTAGATTTGTGTGTTTATCATTTCATTACATTATTCATTCAAATGTTTTTTGTACGTCCTTATTTGGGGAACTCCAGTTACACAATTATTAGGCTACTTCTCCTAAGCACAGTAAATCTCTGTTCTTTTTTGTTTTTGTTTTCTTCTCTCTCCCTGTCTCTCTCTGGTTCAGCATGGCTAGTTTTTTATTAATTTGTCATATTCACTAATATCTTCTTCTGTATTGTCTAATCTGTTGCTTACCATATCCAACATAATTGCTCATTTCACACAATCTATACAAATTTTTTTTTTTTGAGATGCAGTCTCACTCTGTCACCAGGCAGAGTGCAGTGGTGCGATCTCAGCTCACTGCAACCTCCGCCTCCCGGGTTCAAGCGATTCTCCTGCCTCAGCCTCTTGAGTAGCTGGGACTATAGGCGCCTGGCTAATTTTTCTATTTTTAGTAGAGATGGGGTTTCACCATATTGGCTAGAATGGTCTCGATCTCTTGACCTTGTGATCCTCCCGCCTCGGCCTCCCAAGTGCTGAGATTACAGGCATGACCCACTGCACCCAGCCTCATCTATACAATTTTAACTTGTATCCTTTATTTATTTATTTATTTTGAGATGGAGTCTTGCTGTGTCACCAGGCTGGAGTTCAGTGGCGGGATCTCAGCTCACTGCAACCTCCAGCTCCCGGGTTCAAGCGATTCCCCTGCCTCAGCCTCCCAAGTAGCTGGGACTACAGGCACATGCCACCATGTCTGGCTAATTTTTTGTATTTTAGTAGCGAAGGGGTTTCACCATGTTGGCCAAGATGGTCTCGATCTCCTGACCTCGTGATCCTCCCACCTCAGCCTCCCAAAGTGCTGGGAGTACAGGCGTGAGCCACTGCGCCCGGCCAACTTGTGTCCTTTTTATGTTTTGTCTCCCTGCCACATCTTAACACTTCTCTCCGCTTTCTGTACACACTGAATGACTGTTATAATGTCTTTTTCTTCTAATCGTAACACACGTGTCAGTTTTAGATGTTTCGATTGAGGTTTCTTCTCATCATAGGCATGCCTGGTAATTTTTGATTGGATGCAAGATATTTTGGAATGTATCCTTCTGGGGGATATACACATATATATGCTATATAAAATTATGTAATTTATATAGATATTGAGTTTTGTTGTGGAACACAATTAAGGTATTTGGAAATAATCCTTTTGGGTAAGGCTTTTAAGATTTATTAGACAGAAATAGAGCAGCATTAATTTAAAGCTAAGAGTTCATTGTAATTCAGTAGGTAGTGAAGACCTTTTAAGAGTATCCTACCTTATTTCTCATTGAATTATGAGGTCTCTGTGTTTAGGTGATGGGCCAACCATGCTAAGCTTGCATGTGGTATCATGGTGCTGTCCTCTCGAATTCTTCCACATAATGTTTCCCCTGGCCACAGTCAGTTTCTGCATCACTGTGCTGATTAACAGCCAGCTGAACAGCTGGAGGGGCCTCTGGAGATTTCTCTGGATCTCTCTCCTCTCCAGTTCCCAGTCAGATGGCTCCTCTCTGAGATATCCCCCATCCCCTTCTGTGGACTGAAAGGTTTCTCAAGGCAGTACATGTGGGGAAATTTGGGAGTTTACTTCATTATTTTCCCTTCTCTCATAAATCACTACTTTTTGCCTATATCTATGTATTTAAAACTGTTTTATATATTTGTCCAGTTTTTTTTCCTGAAGGAGGGTGAACCATTTCCTACTACTTCCTCCAGAGAAAGCTCCTGCCTATATTTTACTTGGAAAAAAAAATTAAGTTGCATCTCACTATAGAACACACACACAGACACACACACACACTCACATACACACATACATACTTTTTTTTCCTCATTTAGTTCCTAGTTAATAACTCCAGATGCATTCTTTCGGTTTGGTGTTTAAGCATGTTATTATGACCATTAATTGCACTTCGTATGTTACATAGCACCAGTTTGGAAAGATGAAAATTACATATTTTATCTGCCCTTTGAAAATTCTTTAACTAGTTGTGAAAGTCTGTTTTATATATTTAATACCTAAGATTAAAAGGACTACACATGCAAAACAAGTAAGGTGAAATAAAATATTTAAATGCATTCTTAAAATACCAGGGTGAAGGGGAGGAGCCAAGATGGCCGAATAGGAACAGCTCCGGTCTATAGCTCCCAACGTGAGCGATGCAGAAGACGGGTGATTTCTGCATTTCCATCTGAGGTACCGGGTTCATCTCACTAGGGAGTGCCAGACAGTGGGCGCAGGTCAGTGGGGTCGCGCACCGTGCTCGAGCCGAAGCAGGGCGAGGCATTGCCTCACTTGGGAAGCGCAAGGGGTCAGGGAGTTCCCTTTCTGAGTCAAAGAAAGGGGTGACGGATGGCACCTGGAAAATCGGGTCACTCCCACCCGAATACTGCGCTTTTCCGACGGGTTTAAAAAACGGCGCACCACGAGATTATATCCCGCACCTGGCTCGGAGGGTCCTACGCCCATGGAGTCTTGCTGATTGCTAGCACAGCAGTCTGAGATCAAACTGCAAGGCGGCAGCGAGGCTGGGGGAGGGGCGCCCACCATTGCCCAGGCTTGATTAGGTAAACAAAGCAGCCGGGAAGCTCGAACTGGGTGGAGCTTCCACAGCTCAAGGAGGCCTGCCTGCCTCTGTAGGCTCCACCTCTGGGGGCAGGGCACAGACAAACAAAAAGACAGCAGTAACCTCTGCAGACTTAAATGTCCCTGTCTGACAGCTTTGAAGAGAGCAGTGGTTCTCCCAGCACGCAGCTGGAGATCTGAGAACGGGCAGACTGCCTCCTCAAGTGGGTCCCTGACCCCTGACCCCCGAGCAGCCTAACTGGGAGGCACCCCCCAGCAGGGGCACACTGACACCTCACACAGCAGGGTATTCCAACAGACCTGCAGCTGAGGGTCCTGTCTGTTAGAAGGAAAACTAACAAACAGAAAGGACATCCACACCAAAAACCCATCTGTACATCACCATCATCAAAGACCAAAAGTAGATAAAACCACAAAGATGGGGAAAAAACAGAACAGAAAAACTGGAAACTCTAAAAAGCAGAGCGCCTCTCCTCCTCCAAAGGAACGCAGTTCCTCACCAGCAACGGAACAAAGCTGGATGGAGAATGACTTTGACGAGCTGAGAGAAGAAGGCTTCAGACGATCAAATTACTCTGAGCTACGGGAGGACATTCAAACCAAAGGCAAAGAAGTTGAAAACTTTGAAAAAAATTTAGAAGAATGTATAACTAGAATAACCAATACAGAGAAGTGCTTAAAGGAGCTGATGGAGCTGAAAACCAAGGCTCGAGAACTACGTGAAGAATGCAGAAGCCTTAGGAGCCGATGCGATCAACTGTAAGAAAGAGTATCAGCAATGGAAGATGAAATGAATGAAATGAAGCGAGAAGGGAAGTTTAGAGAAAAAAGAATAAAAAGAAATGAGCAAAGCCTCCAAGAAATATGGGACTATGTGAAAAGACCAAATCTACGTCTGATTGGTGTACCTGAAAGTGATGGGAAGAATGGAACCAAGTTGGAAAACACTCTGCAGGATATTATCCAGGAGAACTTCCCCAATCTAGCAAGGCAGGCCAACGTTCAGATTCAGGAAATACAGAGAACGCCACAAAGATACTCCTCGAGAAGAGCAACTCCAAGACACATAATTGTCAGATTCACCAAAGTTGAAATGAAGGAAAAAATGTTAAGGGCAGCCAGAGAGAAAGGTCGGGTTACCCTCAAAGGGAAGCCCATCAGACTAACAGTGGATTCCTCGGCAGAAACCCTACAAGCCAGAAGAGAGTGGGGGCCAATATTCAACATTCTTAAAGAAAAGAATTTTCAACCCAGAATTTCATATCCAGCCAAACTAAGCTTCATAAGTGAAGGAGAAATAAAATACTTTACAGACAAGCAAATGCTGAGAGATTTTGTCACCACCAGGCCTGCCTTACAAGAGCTCCTGAAGGAAGCACTAAACATGGAAAGGAACAACCAATACCAGCCGCTGCAAAATCATGCCAAAATGTAAAGACCATCGAGACTAGGAAGAAACTGCATCAACTAACGAGCAAAATAACGAGCTAACATCATAATGACAGGATCAAATTCACACATAACAATATTAACTTTAAATGTCAATGGACTAAATGCTCCAATTAAAAGACACAGACTGGCAAATTGGATAAAGAGTCAAGATCCATCAGTGTGCTGTATTCAGGAAACCCATCTCACGTGCAGAGACACACATAGGCTCAAAATAAAAGGATGGAGGAAGATCTACCAAGCAAATGGAAAACAAAAAAAGGCAGGGGTTGCAATCCTAGTCTCTGATAAAACGGACTTTAAACCAACAAAGATCAAAAGAGACAAAGAAGGCCATTACATAATGGTAAAGGGATCAATTCAACAAGAAGAGCTAACTATCCTAAATATATATGCACCCAATACAGGAGCACCAAGATTCATAAAGCAAGTCCTGAGTGACCTACAGAGAGACTTAGACTCCCACACATTAATAATGGGAGACTTTAACACCCCACTGTCAACATTAGACAGATCAACGAGACAGAAAGTCAACAAGGATACCCAGGAATTGAACTCAGCTCTGCACCAAGCAGACCTAATAGACATCTACAGAACTCTCCACCCCAAATCAACAGAATATACATTTTTTTCAGCACCACACCACACCTATTCCAAAATTGACCACATACTGGGAAGTAAAGCTCTCCTCAGCAAATGTAAAAGAACAGAAATTATAACAAACTATCTCTCAGACCACAGTGCAATCAAACTAGAACTCAGGATTAAGAATCTCACTCAAAACCGCTCAACTACATGAAAACTGAACAACCTGCTCCTGAATGACTACTGGGTACATAACGAAATGAAGGCAGAAATAAAGATGTTCTTTGAAACCAACAAGAACAAAGACACAACATACCAGAATCTCTGGGACGCATTCAAAGCAGTGTGTAGAGGGAAATTTATAGCACTAAATGCCCACAAGAGAAAGCAGGAAAGATCCAAAATTGACACCCTAACATCACAATTAAAAGAACTAGAAAAGCAAGAGCAAACACATTCAAAAGCTAGCAGAAGGCAAGAGATAACTAAAATCAGAGCAGAACTGAAGGAAATAGAGACACAAAAAACCCTTCAAAAAATTAATGAATCCAGGAGCTGGTTTTTTGAAAGGATCAACAAAATTGATAGACCGCTAGCAAGACTAATAAAGAAAAAAAGAGAGATGAATCAAATAGACCCAATAAAAAATGATAAAGGGGATATCACTACCGATCCCACAGAAATACAAACTACCATCAGAGAATACTACAAACACCTCTACGCAAATAAACTAGAAAATCTAGAAGAAATGGATAAATTCCTGGACACATACACTCTCCCAAGACTAAACCAGGAAGAAGTTGAATCTCTGAATAGACCAATAACAGGATCTGAAATTGTGGCAATAATCAATAGCTTACCAACCAAAAAGAGTCCAGGACCAGATGGATTCACAGCCAAATTCTACCAGAGGTACAAGGAGGAACTGGTACCATTCCTTCTGAAACTATTCCAATCAATAGAAAAAGAGGGAATCCTCCCTAACTCATTTTATGAGGCCAGCATCATTCTGATACCAAAGCCAGGCAGAGACACAACAAAAAAAGAGAATTTTAGACCAATATCCTTGATGAACATTGATGCAAAAATCCTCAATAAAATACTGGCAAACCAAATCCAGCAGCACATCAAAAAGCTTATCCACCATGATCAAGTGGGCTTCATCCCTGGGATGCAAGGCTGGTTCAATATACGCAAATCAATAAATGTAATCCAGCATATAAACAGAGCCAAAGACAAAAACCACATGATTATCTCAATAGATGCAGAAAAAGCCTTTGACAAAATTCAACAACCCTTCACGCTAAAAACTCTCAATAAATTAGGTATTGACGGGACGTATCTCAAAATAATAAGAGCTATCTATGACAAACCCACAGCCAATATCATACTGAATGGGCAAAAACTGGAAGCATTCCCTTTGAAAACTGGCACAAGACAGGGATGCCCTCTCTCACCACTCCTATTCAACATAGTGTTGGAAGTTCTGGCCAGGGCAATTAGGCAGGTGAAGGAAATAACGGGTATTCAATTAGGAAAAGAGGAAGTCAAATTGTCCCTGTTTGCAGATGACATGATTGTATATCTAGAAAACCCCATTGTCTCAGCCCAATATCTCCTTAAGCTGATAAGCAACTTCAGCAAAGTCTCAGGATACAAAATCAATGTACAAAAATCACAAGCATTCTTATACACCAACAACAGACAAACAGAGAGCCAAATCATGAGTGAACTCCCATTCACAATTGCTTCAAAGAGAATAAAATACCTAGGAATCCAACTTACAAGGGATGTGAAGGACCTCTTCAAGGAGAACTACAAACCACTGCTCAAGGAAATAAAAGAGGATACAAACAAATGGAAGAACATTCCATGCTCATGGGTAGGAAGAATCAATATCGTGAAAATGGCCATACTGCCCAAGGTCATTTACAGATTCAATGCCATCCCCATCAAGCTACCAATGACTTTCTTCACAGAATTGGAAAAAACTACTTTAAAGTTCATATGGAACCAAAAAAGAGCCCGCATTGCCAAGTCAATCCTAAGCCAAAAGAACAAAGCTGGAGGCATCACACTACCTGACTTCAAACTATACTACAAGGCTACAGTAACCAAAACAGCATGGTACTGGTACCAAAACAGAGATATAGATCAATGGAACAGAACAGAGCCCTCAGAAATAACGCCACATATCTACAACTATCTGATCTTTGACAAACCTGAGAAAAACAAGCAATGGGGAAAGGATTCCCTATTTAATAAATGGTGCTGGGAAAACTGGCTTAGCCATATGTAGAAAGCTGAAACTGGATCCCTTCCTTACACCTTACACAAAAATCAATTCAAGATGGATTAAAGACTTAAACGTTAGACCTAAAACCATAAAAACCCTAGAAGAAAACCTAGGCATTACCATTCACGACATAGGCATGGGCAAGGACTTCATGTCTAAAGCACCAAAAGCAATGGCAACAAAAGACAAAATTGACAAATGGGATCTAATTAAACTAAAGAGCTTCTGCACAGCAAAAGAAACTACCATCAGAGTGAACAGGCAACCTACAAAATGGGAGAAAATTTTCGCAACCTACTCCTCTGACAAAGGGCTAATATCCAGAATCTACAATGAACTCAAACAAATTTACAAGAAAAAAACAAACAACCCCATCAAAAAGTGGGCGAAGGACATGAACAGACACTTCTCAAAAGAAAACATTTATGCAGCCAAAAGACACATGAAAAAATGCTCATCATCACTGGCCATCAGAGAAATGCAAATCAAAACCACAATGAGATACCATCTCACACCAGTTAGAATGGCAATCATTAAAAAGTCAGGAAACAACAGGTGCTGGAGAGGATGTGGAGAAATAGGAACACTTTTACACTGTTGGTGGGACTGTAAACTAGTTCAACCATTGTGGAAGTCAGTGTGGCGATTCCTCAGGGATCTAGAACTGGAAATACCATTTGACCCAGCCATCCCATTACTGGGTATATACCCAAAGGACTATAAATCATGCTGCTATAAAGACACATGCACACGTATGTTTATTGCGGCATTATTCACAATAGCAAAGACTTGGAATCAACCCAAATGTCCAACAATGATAGACTGGATTAAGAAAATGTGGCACATATACACCATGGAATACTATGCAGCCATAAAAAATGATGAGTTCATGTCCTTTGTAGGGACATGAATGAAATTGGAAATCATCATTCTCAGTAAACTATTGCAAGAACAAAAAACCAAACACCGCATATTCTCACTCATAGGTGGGAATTGAACAATGAGATCACATGGACACAGGGAGGGGAATATCACACTCTCGGGACTGTTGTGGGGTGGGGGGGGGGAGGGATAGCATCGGGAAATATACCTAATGCTAGATGACGAGTTAGTGGGTGCAGCGTACCAGCATGGCACATGTATACATATGTAACTAACCTGCACAATGTGCACATGTACCCTAAAACTTAAAGTATAATAAAAAAAAAATATTAAAAAAAATACCAGGGTGAAAATGCAGGCTATAAAATAGACAGTTTTTCAAGTAAAATTCTGACACTATAAAGAGGGCATCTGGCATATATTTTGATGTGAACTAGGATAACCCCTTAATTCTTCTTTGTATCAACTGCAACAGTTGTAATAAATTGATGACCTTACATTCCCATTCATTTCTTTTTATTTTTTAATGCTTTTCCTTTTATTAATAATTTAAAAAATTGCATCGCTGGATAGATTACATGGAACATTCCCATTTATTTCTAAGTTTTTTAAAAGGAGGAACTGGTTTTTCTAATTTATCTCTTTAACCTTATTGTCTAGGTCAGGATGTAGACCATAAAAGTTATCAATAATGTTTGTTGACCAGATATACAATGAGTAAATTCAGGAGCAGTCTATTCAAATATGCTGTTTTAAGCATCGCCCCAAAACACGAATCACTAGTTAACTGAGAAATCCGTCATTAACATCACCAGTTGAAGGCAGCTTCTTCAACTAATTTGAGCAGGAAGACACTCCTTTTTCCTATATTACCTCTTAATTAATTCAAAAGCAGCATCCCAGGAAACAATTATTTATAAATCAACATTAGTATGTGACACACAAATATAAGGAGAAAGTATAATATAGCATTTAATTAAAAAAGAGCACCAAGTTAGAAACAATTCCAAGTATTCTCTTTTTTTTTTTTGAGAGGAGTCTCGCTGTGTCGCCCAGGCTGGAGTGCAGTGGCGCAATCTCAGCTCACTGCAAGCTCTGCCTCCCGGTTTCATGCCATTCTCCTGCCTCAGCCTCCTGAGTAGCTGGGACTACGGGCGCCCGCCACCACGCCCAGCTAATTTTTTTTTGTATTTTTAGTAGAGACGGGTTTTCACCGTGTTAGCCAGGATGGTCTCGATCTCTTGACCTCGTGATCTGCCTGCCTCGGCCTCCCAAAGTGCTGGGATTACAGGCGTGAGCTACCATGCCCAGCCCCAAGTATTCTTATAAGAAATTCACAGATAGCAGAAGAGGATGTTCAGAGTTAGATAAGAAACACTACCCGTAAGACAATTCTTGGAATTAGGTTACAAGAAAAAAATGTATCTACTCTGTCTCTAGGCAAGTAATTGATTTTTTGGCAAATCTATTGTAGAACTAAGTTTTAAAGACATAGCTTGACAAGAATGACTTCTATTTGAAACAAATCCCTTATGAATCTTTTTTTCTCCCTCACCCCCAAAAAACAAAAGGCAATTCAGAAGTCTGATCTAATCTCCAATAAATGCATTTTGTGTTTAGTAAAGTTGTTAAGTATAGTAACAATAAGCTCGACTTTAGACTCGTGTAATGCACTCTGAGTGACAAGAAGTGGCCAATTTGGGGAATAAATGCTATGGGCAGAGACAGGAGTCTGTACACTTTCCAGCACTTCCAGAGAAATTTAATCAGTGTTCAGTGTCCCTGCTAAGGTAGAAATGAGAATTCTTGAAAGGAGCTTATTCTAAATTCCCACTCCCATTATCCAATAAAATATACTTATTCTGTTAACATTCCTAGCTTGTCATTTATTGATAGCCAGTGGTTAAGATGGCAGAGAATACAGAAAATAAATTAAATTCCCTAGTACATAAGATTAAGTCACTACCCTGCTCAAAAGCAACCCAATGGCCTCCCACTGACCTTATCATAGAAGCCCCACTTTTCACCATGGCCTTTGGGAATCTTCCTCATTTAGCCCCAATTAAATCACCTTGTTCCCCATTCTCTCCCTGTTCTCATTTTGTTCTAGTCATACTGGACTTCGTTCTGTTCCTCAGGCAGGCTGGGTTTCTTCTTAACTCAGGCCCTTTGGGGTGATCATTCATTTTTCTTGGCATGATCTTCCATTCCACCTTTGCTTGCCTCTTGGTCTTCATCTGGGTGTCAGCTCGAATACTCCCTCTCTGGAAAAATTTACCATGACCACTCATATTCCCTACCCACCACGTTGCATTCCTCCATACCCACCTGCACTATTGTCACATAGTATTTGTCTTTTTCCAAAATTATTTTAACACTTGTGTCTGTCTCTTCCAGCAAATTGAGTTTAATCTGTCCTGGTCAGCACAGAAGTTTCAGAACCTAGAATACTGCTGGCCCATAGTAGACCCTCCAGTAGCATTTGTGAGAATGATATGAAGGAAAGGAAAATAACCATTAAGAGCAGATGGATGAATTGTGATATAATCATACAGAAAAACACTCTACAACAACAAGAATAAATTATCCATAACTACATGTACCAGAATGCTATGCAAAGGAAGCCAGGCACAAAGCAATATATGCTGCAAGTCTTTTGCATGTCACAACATGGTGAAGAAATAAATATATAGTATATACTGTATGACTCCACTTACATAAAATGCAAACACAGGCAAAATTAATTCGTGTTGTTTGTAGTCAGGATGGTGATTCCCTTTGAGAGGACAGGAACAGGAAGGAGCATGGGTCAGCCCAGTCCTCAGTTGCCTCCTGAACTGGAGCTGGCGGACCAGGCGTGATTGCTTTGTGAGTAAGCATCAAGCTTTCTACACCTGTTATACTTTAATTAATTTGGCCTGAATTCAATATTGCATTTGCTACTTAAGCTTTAGATATTTTTTTCCATTTGGCACATCTGTGATGTCCAAGCTTTTCATATATATATATATATAATTGTATATACACATACATTTTATATGTGTATATATAAATATAAAATATATAAAAATTTACATAAATATACAATTTTATATGTAATGTATGAAATGTTTATATGAATGCATATATGCATACAAATAACATATAAGTAAAATCCATAGTAAATGTATATTTATTTAATAATGATATTAATTCATTTATATGTAAAACATAAATAAAATATATAGGCTGGGTGTGGTGGTGGCTCATGCTTATAATCCCAGCACTTTGGGAGGCTGAGGTGGGAGGATCACTTGAGGCCAGGAGTTTGAGACTAGCCTCGACAATAGTGAGATCTCATCTCTACAAAAAAATTTAAAAATTAGCTCGGTGTGGTGACGAATGCCTATAGTCCCAGCTACCAGGGAGGCTGAAGTGGGAGGATGGCTAGAGCTCAGGGGGTGGAGGCTGCGGGGAGCCATGATTGCACCACTGCAGTCCAGCCTGGGTGACAGAACAATGCCCTGTTTCAAAATAGAAACAGATGATAGATGGAAGGATAGATAGATAAACAGACAGACAGATAGATACAAACAATAGATGGCTGGCTAGCTAGATAGATAGATACAGACAGACAGATAGATACAGACAAACAATAGATGGCTGGCTAGCTAGCTAGATAGATACAGACAGACAGATGAGAATTCTATCTCCTCAGGAAAACATGTTTTTTGTTTTTATTTCATGATGATAGGGTAATTATCCTCTTCGAATTATGTTTGTCCTTTTGTTGAAGTAAACTCAGGTGTGTCGGGTGCTGGGTTGGAAGAAATTGGAATGGTTTCTCCTTCTCTCCAGGCCTCTGGAGGATAGGCCATCCTAGTGGTGCTGCTCCATTCTGTTAGGAGCCCTCAGTGTTCTGCAGAGACTGACTCTGAGCCAATCTTTAGAAGAGGGTGGGAGTGCGCTCCCCATGGAGCCGTCAGCCATAAAGCCATAGGCTGCAAGAAGCCTGTGGTGTTAATCTGGAACCAAGCGAACAATTAGAGAAGGAAATTTCTGCCCAGGGCAATATGGGTGGGTATGGAGAAATGGACCACTCTTAACATACAATTATGTGAGCAAACGTGTGAAACCCCAGCAATGCTACTTCTCCAAATTATCCTAGGGTATATGTGGGTTTAAATATTCAAAAAATATTCGAAGACTACAAACAATGCAATTATCAAATACATATATACAATAGCAAGAATAGTAATTAGTTTAAATGTACGCAATAGGAAACTAGATACACAAAATAGAAACGATTCATATGATGAAATTCAATAAATGCATTGAAACAGATGTGTAGAAAAGTATTTAATACACAGAAGGGTTCATGAGTTATTGTTGAATGGAAACAGGCTACAATGCGGCATGTCCAGCCTGATAATTACAGGTATGTATTTATAAGAAGTAACACAAGCATAGAGGAATATATAGTAAAAATGGTTCTTCTTGGTGAGTGTATAATTGATATTGAAATATTTACTTCCCTTTTTATTTTGTAAATTTTTGACGATGGTATCTTTTATATTCACAAAAGAGTATATGAAAGTCATTATTTTTGTAATAAAGTATTTACAACTATTGATCTGAGGCTACAATTAAACTGTATTGGGGTGGTAATTTAAAAAGCATTTTAGGTTGAAATGTCTTTTTTTATTTATTCTTTTTGCATTTATACAAGCACGCTTCCCTTTATGGTCTATTTGAAAAATAGAATCTTGACTCTACGCCATGTTAGTTATATTTCTATTTTATTATTTGTGTGTGTGTGTGTGTGTGTGTGTGTGTGTGGTTTTTTTTTTGAGACGGAGTTTCACTTTTATTGTCCAGGATGGAGTGCAATGGCATGACCTCGGCTCACTGCAACCTCCACCTCCCGAGTTCAAGCGATTCTCTTGCCCCAGCCTCCCAAGCAGCTCAGATTACAGGTGCACCCCACCAGGTCCGGCTACTTTTTTGTATTTTTAGTAGAGGCAGGGTTTCACCATGTTGGCCAGGCTGGTCTCAAACTCCTGACCTTAGGTGATCCACCCGCCTCAGCCTCCCAAAATGCTGGGATTACAGACATAAGCCACGACGCCCGGCCTTCTATTTTGTTATTGCTATGTATAAATAACTTACACATTTCACAGTAAAATATACCAGTGGTTAAGTTGACTTCTCATGGCACCGATCAATCATTTAAAACAATAAGAAAAACTAAAATTTCCTGGCCCCAGTGAAGGGAAAGTCACTAGCTGCTGGAGCACTGGATAAAAGCCTACTGAAGCATGTAATTAAGGGATATTCCAAAATTCAGAAACACATCTAGATTTACCAGCCCATGCAGAAACCAATTTGGTCCCAATGAGTCATACTGAATGACGGTGTCTTAATTTTGGTCTTGCAACCAAATCCGAAGGTTACAGGTAGGTAGGCCTGAGCTGGGCAGGAGAAGGCTCTCCCCCTACCCACTAGAAATGTCAGGGGATGGTTGGGCAGTTTTCGAACTGGCTCTCTAAAAATGATAATTCTAGCCGGTCGCGGTGGCTCACAACTGTAATCCCAGCATTTTGGAGGGCTGAGGCAGGCAGATCGCCTGAGGTCAGAAGTTCAAGACCAGCCTGGCTAACATGGTGAAACCCTGTCTCTACTAAAAATACAAAAATTAGCCGGGATTGGTGGTGCATGCCTGTAATCCCAGCTACTTGGGAGGCTGAGGCAGGAGAATCGCTTGAACATGGGAGGCGGAGGTTGCAGTGAGCTGAGATCGCACCATTGCACTACAGCCTGGGCGACAAGAGTAAAACTCCATCTCAAATAAATAAATAAATAAATAAATAAATAAATAAATAAATAAAATAAAGATAATCTAGCAGCCAGGGACAGACAATGTCCTAATGGTCCACACCTGTTAACATTTAAAGTGTTAACTGAATGCAGGCCCCAGGGAGAAACAGATTCCTGAGCATGCATCTTAGAGACAAAAATGGCGGAGTATGGTCTCCCGGGTGCACCCCACTGGAAAAAAGAAAACCTCCGATGGGCATGCATTTAACTCCCTACACACACTGCGCATGCTCAATTCCAAAGGGTCAGGCGGGCTCTGCGCATGCCGGCAGCCCACCCTATGGGAGGAATCATGGGAAAGAGGCCCGCTTATGAAAGTCCTAGGATCCCAATTAAATGGGGCACTTGACCTCTGTTAAACCTTCCCGTGCCCATTTGGGTCTCTTCCAAGGGCACCGTCCTTTCTTCCTTTTCCAAAGCCTTTAAAATAAACTTCCATTCCTGCTCTGGAACTTGCCTCGGTCTCTTTCCCCACTTTATGCCCCTCAGTCAAATTCTTTCTTCCGAGGAGGCAAGGACCGAAGTTGCTGTGGACCCTTAAGGATAGGCTGCCGGTAACTTGGGGTGACTCGGATCTTTGCCACTAGTAACACCATTGCAATTTATTTCCTGCCTGAAGAAAAGATATAAATCACACTGTTCATAATGTTGCATTCTCCCTAATAGAAATTATTTGAAACCTATGTACGTACTTTTCATTGCTAGAAAGAGGTTAATTAATACAGTGGCTGGATCACAGTTATCAATATCACGTTTCAAGAATCCTGGGAAGTCTGTTGTAGTTGAGCGTACTTTTATAAAATCCCAAGTCAAGCTTTTAAACTGAGTCCCACTGTCTGGTCAGTGGAAAATAAAGTCTCATTTGTGGTTTTTGGCTTTTCTTCCTGTTATCTGTGGTCCCTGAAACCACTCTAGCAAAAGGCACCTGAGTGGAGGAGGCTCATGGGTTAGCAGCACTGATAAGGATGGAGCAAAATGGATTGACATGCATCACCCAAAATTCTTAACTTCAGCTGTCAGATGACAGAGAAAGAACCTTGAACACAATAATTGCCTTTTTCCGCTCAGAGCCTCAGTAACATTTTTTCTAACGTAGAAAGTAGAAATCGGCATGCTAGTTTGAGATTTTTATATAAAAGGTCATCTGTCCACAGCAAAGCAAACCTGGGTACCTGGAGGTGATAATTACCTTCTGGCACCACAGCCTCCTGAGATTCGCTCAGGCAGGCTTTTATTTTCACTTCCTTGAAATTCAAGGTACAGTAACATGTGGGGCCTCTGAACTTAAACACCTGGTTTCCTAATCTATGTTATAACCCAGGCAGGGGAAATGGTTACTTACTGTTAAATGTGGAATTTTTATCTCAGACACAGAGCCAGCAAAATGTTATTTATATTTTTCAACTTGGGATGCTCCATGATTGAGTCAGGAAAATGCCTTATTATAAAAGAGGGAATAAAGTACACAAGTCATTATGACTCCTATTGATAAAAGGACTTCAGATGACTTTCCTTCAGCAAATTCATTTAAATCTAAACATGGACAAGATTTCACAAAAAAGTGACATTTTCTTCCTCCTTGCTCCTGACCTTAATAAAAATAATTTCTTATCCGCATTTATTTCTGCAAATAAAGAACTAGTTATGGAGAAGTCCCTAGGCACAAGGCATCTGTAGGATCCTGTCTGTAGGAAGCATCTTATGAGGAAGCCTGAGACACAAGCATTGCCCTGAATAGACAACCTGTCTGAGCCTCCTTTCCATCATCTCTAAAGAGGATAATGATGGAATCCCCTGACTCTGGCACGTGTGAGGATGCACACAAAGTGCAAGGCAGGTATAAAGACACAGTAGAGCAGGCTTCGTTTTGTGTTTTCATTGATTGTGGCTCTTGTCCCAACCACCTTCCCCACCCAGCATTGATTAATTGTAATGAATGAGAAACATCTTGCATTTGTTGAAAATATTGCAACCCTTACATGGTGCCTTTAAATTTTGCAGGTGTGAATTATTCTTTCACAGAAGAAAGTCTAAGGGCAATCTGGACAGCATCTGTGTTTTGATGCAGGTTTGTACCCGTATGGTGTAATATAGAGTTGCAGAGAAGACGCCCGTGGACCTTTGGTGGCAGTTTCACCTGGGTCAGGAGTTGCTGTGTTAAATTCTCTCCTAGGGAGAGTCTAAAATGAAGCTATTGGGTTGTCCAGCATCTGGCACCGGGCCCAGCCCAGTCAATGGGGTATTAATTAAGCATTCATAGAAGAAACAAACACACTGCCCATGATTTTCCAGAATTTTGAAAATGTTTAAGTCTAATGAACAGTGAAAATAATATGGAAAATAATAATAAGATAGGTGGTAGACTTTCAGTAAATATGAGCAATAGACTTTTGACAGTTAAGGATACCTAAAACTTCTCTAATCTTCTATAAAAATTATTTTTAAATCTTTTGAGTTGTGTGTGTGTTGGTGGAGAGTTTGTGGCAGAGATTGACGATAACTCATCCGTACACTTAGTGAATCATGACTATGACTTTGATCATCCTACTTTAGAATGTAGAGGAGATAAACCCAAGGTTGTGCTGCTTGTTTCAGAAGCTGAACTACCAGGAAAATAGAATTTATCCATCTTGGTCTTTACTATGTGCCCAGAATAGTGCCTGTCATGTAATAGGTGCTTAATAAATATTCAGTGACTTAAATAAGTTTTTTAAACCTATTATTATGAGTACGTCTATTGATTGGGTTGTTTCTGCAGCATTTGCATCTTTGTCTTCTGGGCATCCTCACGTCAATTTCATATGGGCCTGAGTCTGATTTCTTTTTTGTGACAAAAGTTGCTTTAAAAAATAACTGAATATGCCAGTGAAAGATGAGTGTTTAGGAAGTGGAGGAGGTTGTGTGACTGGATGTCAGTGGCCATCCAGGGAAGGGCATGTCTCACCAAGTTGGCGAGCCCTGCAGGAATTACCTGTGGACCAGAAGTGAGTGTGGATGGATCCGTTACATTTTATCCCATGGAATGGGGAGGCATGTAAAATAATTCATAGGTTGCCTTCTGCTGAGGGAACGCAGACATCTGCCTTTGTCTAGATTGAGAAGGGTGTGAATAACCAGATCTTGGTGGAAAGCTGCTGTTTTCTTTAGAATGTAAACGAGATAAAATGGATCTGTTCTCAATAATAATTATTACTTAGATTGTGTCTGGAGTTTTCCACCCTGCCTTCTACTGGATGGAATCCATTTTCATGTATTCTTCAAACTGTGACTCAGGATTCTCACTACCTCTTTCCTTCCTTTCCTTGTTTCCTCTACTTTCTTCTCTTCCATCTTTCTCTAATCCTTCTCCTCCTATTCTTTACCCAATTATGTTATGTGATGTCTAAGCACCCCAAACTGCACTGATTTAGGTCATTGCAGGTTTAATGTGTCTTCTTCAAATAGTATTTTTTTTTGTCATTGTCACTCAAGTATCTGTGAGCTCAGTAACACAGAAGACTTTGTAAGAACTCTCATGTAAGATACCTTTTATCAGACAGAAATATGGTGTTGGTGAAAATCTCTCAGCATATATGTTGGCTTGTAGTATAGCTACCACATGCCAACAAGGTTGGACCAGTAAAGTTATAGGGCTTATTGAGAGCTCATGTATCCATCCAGTGGCTCCCAAACCTTCATGATTTGAGTTACCTGGGAAGTGTGTGCAGCACACAGATTTATACATACTGCATCAGAATCCCCCAGAAGTTGACAACTGCAAAAAGTTCTCCACAGATGATGCCAATGCTTAGCCAGAGTTAGGGATCACTGTCTGTGCTAAAAGGGACTGAATTTTCCCAGAAGAGGATGTTATTTTCCCTCATTGATAGACTTTGCTACTTCTGACCTTGCAACTTACCACAAGGTTTTCCTGCTGGTGGTCAGGTCAGCTCTCTGCTTCGGATAAATTATACTTCCCTGGAAATAGATGCTAGAACAATCACTTCAAGTATGCTACTCATCATGTGAAAAATGGTGGAGCTCCACTGTAAGAATGAACCAATGGAGGCAAGGTATTTATATCAAAAAGAAGCAATTAATTGCTCAGGGTAATCCCAGCAATCAAAACTAGGTTCCAATAAAGCTGCAGACAATTGAGGATGCCTGTGAAAATCATTTTATTCCATCTCTTCCATCTCAAGTGGTTTCCTATCTTGATTGACATCCTGGGAGTGTTTAATACATGCAGATGTGCTCTTTTACCTAAAATACCAGGATGTATTTCATTGTTTGCCTAGCTAATGCTGTTGTAAAAAAAAAAAAATAGAAAAAAAAACCCACTTCGAGTGGCATAATACAAACCTAACAGCTAAATCCAGAGGAATTTTATAAAATGCCAAGCTTGAAAAGATTTAATTATATTGTTATGACTAATTGCATAGTGCAATACTGTGAGTATAGTACTTATTGTTTTTGGGAGTTGTTTTCCTTCCTTTCTAAATATACTATTTTAAGAGCAGTTATAGGTTTATAGAAAAGTTGAGTAGAATGTAAAGAAAGTTTGCACAGACTCCCTCACCCCTCCCAGGTCCCCCTATTATAAACGTCTTGCATTGATGTGGTACATTTGTTAACAGTGGGTGAGCCAATAATCATACATTATTATTCATTAAAGTCCATCATTACAGTAGGGTTCCCTCTTGGTGTTGTACATTCTACAGGTTTTGACAACTACATAATGTCATGTATCCACCACTATAGCACGATACAGAATAGTTTCACTGCCCTAAAAATTCCCTGTGTTCCATTTGTTTATCGCTCCCCACCCCCCAACCCTGGGAACCACTAGTCATTTTGCCTTGTTTTGTCTTTTGAAGAATGCCATATAGTTGGAATCAGACAGTATACAGCCTTTCAGATTGACTCATTTTACTTAGCAACATGCATCTAAGTTTCCTCTATATGTTTTTTGTGGCCTGAAAACTCATTCTTATTGCTAAACAATATTCAATTGTGTGGATGCGACACAGTTTGTTTCTATGGAATGGCATAGGTCTTTGAACTTAGTATGGAATAATGCAGACCATATTCTTTCCCAAAATAGAATTAAAAAATGATTTTTGGTGTCATTTATACTCTCGCTTTATCCTCTCATCTGTGAGCTGTCCCTTACGCCCAAATAAGTTCAGATTAATTTTAATTAAACTCTTTGGAGGTTTCTAGCTCCATAATTGAACACAAAGAAGACAAAATAATGCAGAGATGCATTCAAATAGGGGAATTTTTATTTGTGGAGATTTAGAAAATTACAGTTCTCAGAAAACATAAGTTTTGTGGTGATGGGTCAGTTTACAGTAGATCAACCCTCCCATTTAGAACAACTACATTAATTAACTGGTAAAGCACCAAAGGAAATAACGTTTGTTTAAAGCATTGCAAAGCTATCTTGTTTCCTCAGGTTTTGAGAAACATTGTCCCTAGGAGAGAAAGGAAGCACTTCAAGGTGAGCCCAGCGTTTGATTCTGCCTTATCATTGCGATATTTGCTGACTCATAAGCAGTGAAGAGTAGAAACCCGAGATGCTAAATAGAAAGTGAAACTAAAATGCAGCAAATGCCAGGCAGAGCTTTTACTGATCTTACAGTTCTGGGAAGGCTGAATGTACAGTTAAGGGTAGCCAACCTATCAGTTAGGAAGGAAAAGTGAACCTGGAAATCTCTAAACTCCTTTGATGCTCAAGATACTTCCTTATATATAATAAATAAATAAATAAAATATTAAATTTATATAAATAAATAAAGACCAAGAGGCAAAAGAATCAAGTAGGAAGCAGCAGTTAGGAGGCTGAGGAGTCAGCAGAGCCTCTGCAATCCCTAAATGTGGAAGGAAAAACAGTTGGGTTCAGAACTCAGCAAGAAACATAGCCCCGGTAAATGACTCAAGCTTTATACTAAAAGATTGCATCCTATAAGCAAGAAAAAATAATCCCTCAAGACTTACAAAAACTGAACACAAGCCTCAAGTCTTCTTAATCAGATAATAGAAAAACAAATGCAGCCTGCATACATACACACTAACTGCTTCCCAGAAGCTAAGCTCATGCAAAGCCGTTTCAAAAAAAAAGTCTTATTAAAGATTTGTTTTAAAAACTATCAGGTTTACCAAAGGAAATTACCAAACACAAGAAAAATAAAATATTATTTAAAAACCCTCATAAACATATTCAGTAACATAGATGATGAGATGAAAAATTTTAACAGAAAAGAGCACTCTATACAATTATTCAAATGAAATTCTATTACTAAAATATACAAGATTTTAATTAATAAACAAATATGTGGGCTTAACAGCGTATTTGGCAAAACTAAGATGATGATTAATGATTGGGAATACAGGCCAGTAGAAAATGGTCAGATGGAAATATAAACAGAGAGGAATCAAACATAAAAACATAGTTTAAATGGACATTAAACATATAAAAACATTTTTGGAATGGAGAAATAGCCTGACAAATGTGTGTAATCAGTGTCAAAATTAGAAAAGAGAATAGAGAAGAATATTAGAGGAGATTCTGAGAGTCTCCCGAAACTAATTAAATAAATTTTGCTTCAATTTTAATAAATCCTACAATGGCAAGGAAAATAAATACAAATAACTTGGCAGCTAGGCTAATCAGAATAAAAATGTGGAAAGAAAAAAACAGAAGAAAGAAAAATAAACATTATATTAAAAAACGAGAGTGTCTTACGACACTCTTCCACAAATATACCCAGGCTTAGAAAGCTTCCAGATAGTAGAAAAAAAAAAATACATCAATGTCACATCAACTCTTCCACAGTAAAAGAGGAAAAACGTACACAGTTTCTCTATTGTCCAGCATAACCTTGGTCCCAACACATGGCAAAAACACTATAAAAAGAGTTCAGGGCCAGGTGCAGTGGCTCACACCTGTAATCCCTGCACTTTGGGAGGCCGAGGCGGGCAAATCACCTGCGCTCAGGAGTTCGAGACCAGCCTGGCCAACATGGTAAAACCCCGTCTCTACTAAAGGCACAAATAAAAAATTGGTCAGCCATGGTGGCACATACCTGTAATCCCAGCTCCTCGGGAGGGGAGGCTGAGGAATGAGAACCGCTTGAGCCTGGGAGAGGGAGGTCACAGTAAACTGAGATTGCGCCATTGCACTTTAGCCTGGGCAACAGAATAGGTTGGCTTTATTATGGAAATGGTAGGTTAGTTTACGTTTAAAAAGCCTGTCAATATAATCACTACAGTAACAGAATTAAGCAAACAAATAGAACATGATTCTTTCACTGAAGGAGAAAAACATTTAATAAAATTTAACCCAGTATGATCAGTTACTCAGAGCTATCTGGGAACAGAAGGAAATTTCCTTAAATGTATAAAAAACTTGTTCAAAACATATGAAACAGAACCTTACTCAATTGAGGAAATATTGACATTGTTCTGCCTATTATGAGGAATGAGAGAAGGATGCCTGATATCACGACTTTACTCAGTATTTTCCCAGAGTTATAAGAACTAACAGATACAACAATTGGAAAGAAAGAGATAACTCTGCCACTGTTTGCAGATTGCAGGAGAGACTAATCCAAAATGTCAATAACGTTTGATAAAAATACAGTGAGAGGGTGGTGCCAATGTGCATCCCACCGGAGTTGCTAAAACGAAGAGATTAAAAATGCCAAGTGTTGGTGGTGACATAGAGCCACTGGAACTCTCATAGATGGCTGGGGTGTTTTGGAAAGCTCTCTGTCAGCATCCACTATGGCCAAAAATGAGCATGCACCATGACTCAGAAAGTCAACTCTTTAGTGGAATTTGACTCCACTTTACAAAAATGCTTACACATGTGAATCAAAAGACAGGTACCATTCATAAGTGAATGCTTTGACTACATGCACAAAACCATGTACAAAAGACATGAACAAAAGACATGCACAAAAACATTCATAGTGAATATTGTGATTATATGTACAAAACCATTCCTTTGCAACATTCACTAGAGCCCCAAACAAGAAACAACCCAATGTCCAATAATGATAGGGAGCATTCCTAATATGAGGTGTGGTTCTATCACGAGAATTATTGAACTACTGTCACCTGCAATAATTAGAAGAATTTTGAAAAGTTAACCTTGAACAAAAGAGGCCTGGTAACAATGAGTGCACACTGTGTGTTACTGTTTGCATAAAGGTAATGGCAAGCCAAGTCACTTGGTGGTAGAAGTCAGAATAGTCATTACTCTTTTGGAGATACTCACTGGGGGACTTGGTTAGTTCTTATGATGTTTCCTGGTCTTGGTGGTGGATATACGGTTGGGTTTGCTTGTATAAATTTATCATAGTCCATATATAATTTGATTTATGTACCTGTCTGAAAAACGTATCTTGTTTCAATAAAAAAGATGATACTTAAATATTCCTGGGCTCTATCTTGCTCAACTAAATTAGAATCCTCCAGGATGGGAGATGACTATATTTTAAAATCTCCACAGTTGACTCTGATGTGAATCCAGGTTTTGATCACTTGTGACGATGGCCCTCAAACTTGGTATGTATCAAATCATCTGGGAACTTGGTGAGACTGTGGGACCCTGAGCCTCAACCTGCTTCAAAGAGGGGAGGCACGCATATTTTTTGGTAGCTTTCAAGGTGATTCTGATACTATATACAAAAGTTTGAGAAGCACTTCTCCAGAGCCTAACATCCAGGACTCTGATTCTCAAATTGGTCGCACACTGGCATTACCTGGGAGGCTTTAAAAAAACAGAAAACAAAAACCACTGTTGCCTGTTCCCACCCCTCTCCACAAGGTGTTTCTAATATATAGCAAAGTTTGAGAATCACTGATCCAGGAGAAATGTCTCTTTTCTGCATGTGTCTGCGTTTCTGTTTTAACATCACAGAACATTAAAAAAGAATAAAATTTGTATTTAAAAATCAAATAAAAAACACTCTATACATTTGGCAGTTGATAAATATCTTTGACTGAATTTTTTTCCCGAGATCTGCTGAGTTGCTGATAGTTTCTCAAAAAAGTGCATACATAATAAAAAAATTTAAATAGGAATAAAAATTCCTATTTTTTAGGAAACCTAATATATGTATTAAGATAAAGCAGAATTGGAAAATGAATTTTATTCCAGCCTGTCTTCCTAGTAGTTTTCAAATATCTTTTGTTTCAAGTGCCATCACCTGTATTTTTCCAGAACACAAACACGTGTTCCAGAGCTCAGTTTTCCAGCTGAGTGTAGTTTACAGTGATGAAGCAGTGACTCCCCATGTGCTCCCTGTTAATCCTAAAGACACCCAGGAAACAACCATGGTCATACTGAGGTTGGAGGCAGGACTGGACTCAGGAGGCGGGGCTTGGACACTGAACCAAATTGAGGACTAGCTCAAATAGGTCGAGGCAGAGGCACCTTTCCATAAGACACACCCACCAGTGTGCCTGTGTCGGTTTACCATTGCCATGGCAACACCCTGAAATTACCGTCCCTTTCTATGGCAATGACTCCCCCAGAAGTTACCACCTGTTTTCTAGAAATTTCTGCATAATCTGTCCCTTAATTTGCATTTAATTAAAATGGGTACATATATGACTGCGGAGCTGCCTCTGAACTGATATTCTGGGCACACTGCCTATGGGGGAGCCCTGCTCTGCAAGGAGCAAGACCTCTGCTGCTTCAATAAATGTTGCTGTCTCACACCACTGGCTCACCCTTGAGTTATTTCTGGGTGAAGCCAATAACCTTCCTGGGCTAAGCCCCAATTTTGGGGCTTGCCTGCCTGCATCAATTGTCTCCATTATTTTCTTATTTCTCCCATTGCCTGGGCTCCAAATCAGCTAATTATGAAAGCAAAATATGATTTCCTTCCCCAGGAAATGCTCCAGTGCCAGAGTACACTACAGCGCCAGAGGACTAATAGGCTGAAAGCATTGTTAGCTGAGTAAATCATGCATCTCTGAGGCTAAGGGTAAATCTTTCAGCTTGGAATTCGTCATTGCTGACTTATAGTTCACGCCATGGATAGCTTAGTATCTTCACTGGAAATGATTTGGAAGAACCCATTTGTGCCTCCCGGCCTGGTTCCCTAACAAGAATTCTGGGTGGTGAGCTTCACTGGGGTGGAACACTGGTGGTGGTCTTGCATTAAAGACACAAGCTCCCATTTGTCACACAGATGTCACAAACCCACACCATGGCTAGGCATGGTTTTCATGGGAGCAAGCAAAAATAATTCCACATCATCAGGACAGAGTAAGCCTGTGTGCTCTGGCAATATTCCCTATAGGGGCGATCAATTTTTAACAGGCTGTAGGGTTGATGTTGACATTTGAGCTCTTGACCAATCTCTGAGTGTCAAAATGCTTTTCTGCACAATAATCCTTGAGAAAATGGACATTGAAACCATATTCCTGGGACCTGAGTTCTGGCTGCTCATTCACTGTGTGAGCCATCTCTTTCTCACTTTCCCTGTCTGTCTCAGTTTCCTCAACCTTAAAATGGGAATAAAAGCAGATATTTACCAAGGAGAGTAGTCGTGAACATTAAATGAGTCCATACATGGTAAGCCCTTAACAACAGGATCTGGCATGTAGTAAACACTCGATTGTCAGTTATTATTAAAATCATTATCTAGTTTAATTCTTGGCATAGACTTAAAAAATACTGAGGTTGATTTATCATGTTAGTATCTATTCACTTATCAACTTCTAGAAAGCGTAGCTGTGTTTTGATCACCCAATGTCTATTCCCCTTCCTTTTGGTAACAAGGACTGTGTGCCCTTTTGGAGATGAAACTCTCTCTACACAGGTGGAAAAGGCCAGGGGAAAATCATGTGATCCAAATAGATCACTGGGATTCTTTCTTCCTAAGCTTGAACATCAAAGGCTTGAACAAAGTTATTCATGAAATGGAAAAAAAATCCATTTAAACAAATTCATTCCTGCAGCATTGATTGCTGTGGACCATTCCTGGCTCTCCATGCATCCGTGCACTCCCTCATGGCTGTTAAACAGATCTCTTTATTCTTGATGTCCAGGCTCAGATTCTGTTGCAAAATAAAGACAGGAAGAAAGAGTGAGAGTGAGAGAGAGAGAGAGAGACTGAGAGAAAGAAATAAAGGACGAAAAAAAGGAAGGAAAGAGAAAGAATAAAAAAAGAATGAAGAAAGGCAGAGAGAAAGAAAGAAAAGAAAGGAAGGAAGGAAGGAAAGAAAGAAAAAGAAAAAAAAGAAAAGAAGAAAAAGAGAGACTCAGAAAGAGTGAAGGAAGGAGAAAGAGGCAAGAGGGAGACAGAGACCAAGAGAGGAAGGAAGGAAGGAAGAAAGGAAGGAGGACCTCCTCACACACATTCAAAAGAAGACTCACTGATAGCCTTGGGTTGTGGACTGTGGATGGAAGTAAACGAGTTTTTCCCAAAATTGTGACTAAAATTAATCTTGAATGACTAAACCGAGCATTGCTCTGTAGACCTCATGATGTTAACATTTCACCATTTATAATTTTTTTAGTGGTTTTAGAACTGCATTTTCCCCAAAAAGCATTGTCCTATGTCTTCTTCAGGGTCCCCTGGTGGACACAGCTGCAAAAGAGAAGCCTGTTTGCCAAGTGACTGGCTGAGTAAGGGGTCAGTTCCTGTTCCTCAGGTGGAGATAAGCCAGGGGGCTGGAGCTGTGGCGAGTTCTCAGTACAGCTCTAATAGAGCAGAGAGAGAGGTGACAGGGAACAGTCTACTTCAATCGCACTGGACATGTGAAGTGTTTTTCCCATGGTGATTCTTTACTGAGGTTTGATTTCTCTTACTGATTAAAAGCATAATGAAATACCAAGAAACAAACACCAAATTCAGAACATCTTTTAATTCTGAAAGGAAAAAAGCAAAATGCAATTTGGAAGCGTGAAAAGGGTCTTTAACAGCCTCTGTGCTTTTTATTATATTTTCCTTGAGCTAAGTGTTGAATACATATTTGCCTGTTACATTATTTTTATATCTTTTTGCATGTTGATAATTTTTAATAACTTTTTCTTACCATGGAATGGGAAAACAAAGAGACTTTTATTGGCTAAGTAGTGAATAAAATAATAATTTCCAGGTGGATGGTCTTTTCCATTTCTATTAAATGAGTAACACGTTTCTAAATGAACACCATTTTATTAGATGAAACACTAAATCTCACCAAACGTATCCTTATTCACAATTTCTAAAATGTATTTATTAATGTTATGTGTGACTGGGACTTAACAACAGCTTCCATTTTTGCTCGGAGTTTTTTACTTGATCAGAAGCACAGAATTGTCAAAAAAAAATTCAAGCACTGTTTTTCACACATCTCTTGAAAACATGAATAGGCAGGAAGGAAGGGAGATCAATACATTTTATTTTTCTTTCCCATCCTCTATGAAAGTGGTAAAGAGAAACATCACTCATCCCTGCTAGTGAAAATTGGACTCTAAGTATCCAATGTTTTGCCAAAGCCAAAAAATAACTTTGAAAGTAAATTATATTCCTTGCTTTACAGCTGAGTGACCTACTGAGGATTTGTAATTAAATATGGCACCATTTTTAAATACGGAGTAGACTTCTGAGTTGAGATACTATGTTCTGGTATTCTTGTCTAAAATAGCTTCCACAAGAACCTAAATTTTATTGAAAAATACTTAACGACATCTTTTTCACAAATGAGTTTATTCAGACTGAATGCAAACGCCTTGAAGGAATACTTTGCGTTTAGTGTATGGAAAGGCATATACCTGAGATCACTGAGCAAAACGCAAAGAGCCCTAATAGAAATGTTTGTATCTGCCTAGACCGCAGGGCCTCCAACTTGTTGCCCAGAGAAGAATTAGTCCCATAAGCACCCTTATTAGGGAAGAGAAACCAGCCAGAGGCTGAACAATAGACACTGTGTGAGTAGTGAGTTGGTCACAGGAAATAAAACATGTATCTATGTCTATACTAGCTTTGAAATATAGTGATCAATAACAGCAGTCCAGGTGGTGGGGCAACCATGAATAACACAGATTCATCAAAACTCAGTGTGCTGTATTTACTTCCCATGCTGGGGAAACAAATATTTTAAAAGAGAGGGAGAGAGAAAGAAAGAGAGAGAGAGAAGGAAGGAGAGGAGGGGAGGGGAGGAGGAAAGAAATGAAGAACAAACATACTTTTGAGCATTTCATTGCCAAATAAATGCTCAAAAGTATGTTTATTTCAAATGTTATTAATCACCGTAGATTTTCCAGTGAAACTTCTTAAATTAGTTCTCTGGTGCTGCTGTAAGAAATCACCACAATCTTCGTGACCGAAAACAATACAAATTGATTATCTTACAATTCTGTAGGCGAGAAGCCATACATGAGTCTCTTTGCCCTAAAATCAAAGTGTCAGAATGCCTGTGAAACTTACGGAGGATTCAAGGGAGAATGATTTTTTTGTGTATTTTTCAGCTTCTACAAATTGCCTTTTGAGGCTTGTGGTCCTGTCCACCTTCAAAGCCAGACACAGGCACTCAAATCCTTCTTATATTTCCTCACTCTGACCCAACTCTGCACCCTCTCCCATCCACATTATTTTAATTTTCTTTCAAAGAGTTACTTGACCATGGTCATTATGCTAAGTTCACCCAGATAATTCAGGATAATCTTCCTCTTTTAGTATCAGCTGATTAGCAGGTGTTAGAAATATCAAAATTGTTAGAAATAAGTAATTGGTGCCACGAAGAAAAGTCAGTACGGAGACGAAAGACCTCTCAGCAAGGCCATCTTTACTTTCTACAGAAAGGGTGCTCATTCGCAGATGGAACCATGGCGAGAACACACCTGAACAAAGGAAAAGCAGACATATTTATCCCTTACGCATTTGGGTCGTCCTTACTGCTGTGTCCTGCATCCATTGGCTGGAGCGGGACCTCACAGTCTGAAACTGATACCCGATTTGCTAATAGCCTAAAACTTTCCTACATAGGTAAGTGCAAGAAAGAACAAAGGAGAGGAAGTTGCTTACGAAAGGTTTAAGGAAGCAATAACATTTCGAAATAAGGAAGGGGCACAGGATGTGAGCTGGGATGTGCCTGTGAGCATGTCCGACAATTACATAGGATAGGGCTTAAAAAAGAGTTATTAGCACAAAGCAAGGAGGCTTGAAGAAAGTTAGTCTTTAAAATAAACTATTATTTCTAACAATTATGATTTATTCTTTAACAGGGGGGAACATTGAAGAGGAAACTTTTTACTTTCTACAGCAGGCTTAATTCCATTTCCCTTAATTTCCCCCTTGACATGTAACACAATATATTAGTATATTCTGGGGATTAAAACTTAGAGTACATTATTCTGCTAACATACTTCCCTAATGCATTTCCATTGCAATACCCACAACTTGTCACCTTTTCCGCTGAGCATTTGATCTTAGCCCAAATACTACCTGGATTTAAACAATGCCTCTTCTCACTTGGAAGAGAACGCTAGAGTGAACGTGGAGCAGATGTCATTGTCGTAGTGAAATGCAGTGAAGGCTTTTCTACGACTACTTTAAAATAAATTTTTGTTTGTGACCTTCAGCAGCAAAACAATCCCCTGACCTTTATGACTAGTCATGGAATTGTCACCATTGGAAATTAATGTTCTTACAGTTCTGCTGCTCAAGAAATAATTGCTTTTAAATTGCTCCAGGGAAATGTCTTTCTTTTGTGAATGCCTCATTAAGATTTTATCAATTCTGCTTTTATTTTTTTCTTTTTACATTTAAATATAAGGATTCCTTAGGCATTTTCAATAAAAGTTAATGAGTTATACGAAATCTGGTTGTAAAGTGAAATTTCTTATGTTGAATGCTATTTCCTAATGGAGTTCTTCTTTATGAAGGTAGAATTACAATGTGGTTCTTCTCCTTAGTACCAAAAATATAGAAATATAAAGGACAGCCTCAGTGAAATGTTATTCTTGGAGCCCAAGTTATGGTGCATCAGTATCAGTTTCTTTCAATATTAAATGAATAGGTCTCTTTACTGATACAACCTTTCCTCATAGTCTAAATTGTACTTGACAGAGAATAACTCGTAGTGAAAGCTAATATATTTCTGAAGCAACCTAATTGTTATGTTTTATTAAATAATAATAATGTAATAATTTATATAAAAAACAGATGAAAGTGAGATGTTTTTTATTGTATAAAATGACCAAATTGATATTAAAAGTCTAAAATTTTCGGAGGGCAGATGCTTTAACAATTCATCTTGTAAACTGCTTAGCATGGCTCAAAACTTGAAGTCCTAGATAAACACTTTTGTGGAAATAAAATATTTCAGGCCCTTTAGCTTTAAAAAACTAATTAGATGATTCATGAAGGTTTTATGTGAATGTCTTCTTTCTCCCAAGAACACTATGTTTCTCTACAATATAGCCAATAAAATTATATTGTTATAATAACTTTATTTAGTAGAAATCACATCTTTATTTTGAATATCATGATTCTGAGAGAGTGAAAGCTTCAAAGACTTGTCCAAAATCATTCAATTGTATATGCAGAACTGGATTTAAACAGGAATCATTTTAATTGTGTGAATTAGTTTCCATATATTAATATATCTTGCATATTTTTGTTTTTTAATTCATTTCTCAAATAAAAAACAATAACCACAACTATTATTTTTGCCTAACTAACCTTGGAAATGTTTGAAATAAATTGTATTTGTCATGTCTAATATGCTTCCCTGGTGGAAAGTTCTAATGACCATTTGTTCTATCCATTTTTTTCCAGAAAACATTATCTAAGTCCGAGAATTGAGGGTTTTTTTTTTTTCTGTAAGAGTGATTTTAAAAGACACTTTGAATATTAGAATTTATCAATAAGAACATATCCTGAAACCAGAAAACAAATTAAAAATATATATATGCATTTTATGCACAAAATTTTCTAGGATAAACCTAAGAATCTGTTAGAATTTTAAAATTAACCAATAAGTTTATAGAAATATAATAATCTGAAATCAGAGGGGAAAAATAAAAATTGAATATAGGAAATTTGATGCAGGCTTTAGAAAGCAGGTAGGAGGACCAGGTAAACAACTAATCAGTGTTGCCTCTCTATAAGTCCAGGTCTGCTTTTAAGGTAGCGTCTTTCAAACTACGGGTCACAGCACAGCAGTGCTGTGAAATAAAGTTAGTGGGTTGAAACTAACATTTATTTTGTAAATCAGATGGAATATGCTATGTCAGAATAAAAGATAACAGAGCCAAACAGAATAGAATGGAATGGAAAATATTTGACAACATTGCAGCAGGTAAGGAGGGTAAATGTATATCTGAGAAATTTTGCTTTAGTATATGTGTGTGTACACATGGCTGTGTGCACATATGTATTGGTCGAGATATAAAATGTGTTTCTCTATGTGAGTTGTGGTCAAAACATTTGAAATCTACTTCCTTTAGAACTTACAACTGTAACACTTGATGTTCATATTAACAGCAGAGAAAAGCTATGTATTGGGTGATATGGATGAAGAAATAATACGGATCCTTGTTATTGAACATTAAAACACAATAAAAATAGCAACACCGACAACATCAATAATAATAATAATAGGCCAGGTGCAGTGGCTCACACCTGTAATCCTAGGACTTTGGGAGGCCAAGGCGGGCAGAGCGCCAGAGTTCAGGAGTTCGAGACCAGCCTGGCCAACATGGCGAAACCCCATCTCTACTAAAAATACAAAAATTAGTCGGGTGTGGTGGCAGGTGCCTGTAATCCCAGCTACTTGGGAGGCTGAGGCAGGAAAATCACTTGAACCCGGTGGGCAGAGGTTGCACTGAGCAGAGATCGTGCCACTGCACTCCAGCCTGGGCAAAAGAGCAAAACCCTGTCTCAAAATAATAATAAACATATAAAATTACCATGTGACAGACTTCCAAGTGCTTTACATTTATTACCATTAAATTCTCACAACTCAACTGTATGAAGTTCTATCATCCCAATTTTAGAGTAAACTTAAGCAAAAAGATGCTAGCAAGTTGGGGAACCAGATTCTAAAACTGGCAACGGGTCCATTATCATCCCATGCACCTTTGCACTGTTCCTTCTTGATCTCATGGAGACTGAAGGTGAGTCTGCTTTGGAAAGCAATGAAAGAAAATAGAAATTGCTTTGACAATCTTATTAGCATGTGATCTATTGATATCAAGGATCTGTAGTTTGCGAAGTTAGGCCACAGATCAGGAGAACAGGTGTTTTCTTACAGAGCAGCAGTTCCAATACCTGCCAGTAGCTTCTTGGAGTAATAGGTAGAGAAGAGTTCCCAAATGCTGGGCTGACCAAGTGGAAAAAGCAAAATGCTGCAAGTGATTGGAAACGTCTGCTGTAATGTAAGCACAGGATATGAGAGAAGAGACTCGCTTAGCAGGTGATTACCATTTATCCATCTATTCATTCATTTAATAAATGCATTTTGAGGTCCTAGTCTGTGACTGATACAGTGACATTGTGATATAACTCTGACCCCAAGGGGCAAAGTCTCTGTTCTTCTGAAGCTTATATTCAATTAGGGAAAGCTGGTTAATGAAGCAAATACATAAACAATGATGTAATAACTTTTTCGGAAACGATCGTGCTCTGAAGGAATGAGAAACAGAAAAAAAACATACAAATTACTCGTAACTAGAGGGGGAAGAGTTGCTGTTTTAGTTACGATGGTCAGGAAAGTTCTTTCTATGAAAACAATATTTTAGCAGAGATTTCAGTGAAGCAAAGGCATGAGAGAATATGTTCCAGGCAGAGGGAAAACCGACTGCAGATGTCTTCAGTGTCTTTAGTGTGACGCTTTGCAAGTGCTCCTTTCTTGGACCTGTTCACTATATGCTTCGAGTTTTAACCGTTAATTTGGGCCTGGAAGGCTGGGCACTGACATTGACATGCTAGCAGTAGTCATCCTGAGGGAGTGGGATAGTGGGAAAAGAGGAACCCCTTTCATTTTGTGGTTGTGTTATTGGTGAATAATACTACATATACATTTTTATTATATTTATTTTCCAACAATCACATCATGCTTGTATATTAGATGCATTAAATTACTTACTTTTTCTGTTCATCACATACACACTACCTTAGACTCAATGCAATGAGTCATGGGACTGGCTGAGCAGACACCAGTCTTGTTTTCCTGTGACCAACAGGAAACATTTTTGGGCAATATTTTTTAAAAGGAAAAAAAGCTATTGATTTTTTTTGCAAACAAGCACTTGTATTTCCACGTTTCAGTGAGTTAGGTAAAATCATCATAAACAAATGGGCCCTGAATCCCTTGCTCCTGCCCTGATTTTCTGTTGTGGTTGCCATGGAGACCCAGGCACATTCAGGAGCTACGCAGAGGTTCCAAGTTAAGGGATAAGACAAATATGACTAATAGTGGATGGGCTGGTGCAGGTGACACCTGCAAACTGGGTCTTGCAGGATGGTAAGTGCCATCCATCACTTTGGAGGAGGCACTGGAGTACCAGCAATCCTGCATCAGTTGCAAGGCAGAGGCTGAGAATCCTTCCAGGAGGACAACCCATGCTTTTCCCTTTGCACCCAAGTTCAAAGAGGACACAGTGAATGAGAGCGCTGCCCCAGAGACACCACCCAGTGACCAGTTTCATAAACCGGGATATTACAAAGCACAGATAGCTCTGGGATGGAACAGTGCTTTTGGAAGTTCGTAAAAGTGGAATAGTTTGAGAACCTGATAACACGAATGTTCCATCATGTATCACTTTGGTAAATTTTTCTTCAAAACAATCTGTGCTTTTTTTCCTGTCTGCTTCTAGTATTATTTTCCAATTTGAACCCATGATGTCTTTTATTTATTTGCGTCTATAATTTTCATAAGGCATTTTAAAAAATTGACACTGATCTTTCTACCAGCAAAAAAGAGGACTGTGGTCATTTTCGGGGAGAGTTAATAATGCTTCAAAGTGCTGGAACAAGAGAATGAAGCAATCATCTCTCTCATCAGGCAGCTCCAAAGCATTAAATCTACTCCAAAACAGAACTAATGCCCAGGTATAATTTTAGTGATGACTGAAACCTGAACTAATTGACAATTTCAGTTTAATTTATATAATAAAAGGTTTTTAAATATCCAGAACTCAAACAGATATTCATCAGACATTTTATATTTCAATTCCAGTTTTTATTATTTTAAAACATTTTATTTTCTCCACTTGAAAAAAATGATACAGGGGCAGAAGTACAATCAGATATCATCAGTTAAAAAGGCAATTAGAATAGTGGAAACCAGGTCAGGTGCAGTGGCTCACGCCTTTAATCCTGGAACTTTGGGAGGCCAAGACAGGTGAATCACTTGAGCTCAGGAGTTTGAGACCAGCCTGGGCAACATGACAAACCCTGTCTCTACAAAAGAATATAAAAATTAGCTGGGCATTGTGGTGCACACCTACAGTCCCAGATACTCAGGAGGGTGAGATGGGAGAAAAACCAGAGCCTGGGAGGTCCAGGCTACAGTGAGCCATGATCGCACCACTGCACCGAAGCCTGGGCAACAGAGCAAGACCCAGCTTGGTGACAGGGCAAGACAAGACCCTGCCTCAAAAATAATAAATAAATAGGGGAAACTGGATGCAGGGAATATGGAAATTATCTGCGCCAAAATCCAACTGAGTGTACCAAATCTAGCTCTTCAACATCAAGTGTTCCATCTGGATATAAATGCATTCACAACTGTAGTTTGCAAACAGTGTCTCTGAATGGAAAACAAAATTGATGCCTCTACTTGACTTTATTTGACTCTAGATTCTGGGTTTTGAAAAGATAAACCTAACGTAATGGGGAATCAGCATTTTTGGCTCCTTTTATGAAGTCATGGGCACAGCTACTTGAAGAGGGTGACTGCTGTGACATGAATTAGAAAACATGCGGCATTGCAGGTTTTGAGTTGCTGTTCCTGCACCACTTTGTCAGAAACAAACCCTTAAAATTTAAATGGCATTTTCTCCAATTCCAGGAGTGTTTCAGTTGAGAAAAAAATGCTAATGTTAATCACTGAAGAATTTTCCTGCCTTTCACTAGGCCCTGGTTTAAGGACCACTTTAGATGCCAATGAAATGTTTCTTGCAGATGTTAATGAAAAACCTTCTGTTGAAGATGGAAAAGTTACTTGATGTGTTTTATTGCCCTAAAATCAAAGTGAAAATTAGCTTCTTATAGACTCATTGAAGGAGCTGAAATAAACATGTAGTTCCAAATGCTATGACTGTATTTGGAATGAGATGATTGAGAAAGCATTTTTTTCTTTTTCAGATGTGCATCCAATACTGATTCTGAGACTCTCTGCTCAGAATTAACCTTTGAGAGGCTGGGAGACATATGCATCAGTCTAACTAAACCAGAGAAATGTGAAAAACAAACAAATAAATAAAAATAAAAATAAAAGAATCAATGAGCTAGGTATTGGATGAGAGAAAACGTTTACTGCAATTGTAGGGAGAGAACTTTTTTTTTTTCAGTTTGATGGATTTATTTGCAGAGAACCAAATCTGCCGCTGGGAACAACTACAAAAGCTGAATTTAAAAATAATGATGTTTTGGCTGGGCGCGGTGGCTCATGCCTGTAATCCCAGCACTTTGGGAGGTCAAGGCGGGTGGATCACGAGGTCAAGAGATTGAGATCAGCCTAGCCAACATGGTGAAACCCCATCTCTACTAAAAATACAAAAATTAGTCAGGCATGGTGGCGTGCGCCTGTAGTCCCAGCTACTCGGGAGGCTGAGGCAGGAGAATTGCTAGAATCTAGGAGATGGAAGTTGCAGTGAGCCAAGATCGCACTACTGCACTCCAGCCTGGCAACAAAGCAAGACTCTGTCTCAAATAATAATAATAATAATAATAATAATAATAATAATAATAATAATAATAGTGTTTCAAAGTGTCAGGAAGATACCAAGGTAGCTAAGATTTAGACAAGATCTTTTGGAAAAGAAAAACTCATTGATATGAAGCCCAAACTCTTCTCCTTGAAGCATTTTCTCACTGTGACTGCAAGAGGGAAGGACCCTGAGGCTGAGCAGAAGCTCAGCCCAAAGTGACAGCTCAGCAGAGCTGCTGGAAGCCACAGAGGATTGAGAGACAGGAATTGGTGTTCTGACCTTCCAAGGCAACCAACTCTTGACAGACAGTGATCCCAGAGACAAGGAGAATATAGGGAATAAGTCAAAACTGAGCCTCTGTTTGCCTGTAAGACATCTGCCATCTCTTAAACTCACCAGGGTAAGGTGGTAAGAACACAACCAGAAAGCAGGCTCTATAAGGCTAAGAAGCTGAGCTTAGGTTGTGCTTATAACATGGTCAAACATTAGTGTTGAGGCCTACCCAGAAGTTGGGCCTTTATACAAATAACCTGGGCTCTCTATTGGGAGCAATGAATGGCTATGGCCTAGGGTTAACAGTGAACCAGAAATAATAAAGACAAAAATGAATGTTGGGTTCGAGCTCAGATTCCATCACCTACTGGATGTAAGACCCCAAATCAACTCAATCCACGGTTGGATGAAGGTTAACTGCACCCAATCTAATGGCAGGTCAAAACTAAAATAAAATCTCTCTGGAAAAATATGATACCCAGAGTCTCAATTTTTTTATATAAATGTTCAAAACTTTATTAAAGGATATAAGAACACCAAAGTAATTCTGATATACTAGACTAAGAGAAAATCAATAGAAGCAGACTCATTAAATTTCATTTTGTAAATACTGATTAACAAACATGATTAATATATTTGGCAAAATATGACTTATGGAGTAAAAATAAAATGGAAATTGTAGAACTGAGAACATAACTGCCAAGTACTCCATAATCTTTCTAATTATCTTTTACCTTGATTTAGAGTTTTTCCAAAGGATTAAAGTGAGATTAGTAAACCAGGAAACCTCTAAGATCATTAAACCCCAGGATCTTTGACATTCGCCAGTCACTGGGTCTTTGAGATAGACACATGTTAGTCTATGTAAAGTGTTAACCAGAATCCGTTTCTCTTCCAGTCTAGTTCTGGCCTCTGGTTGCAGACCAATTAGTAAATTCACATACATGTCAATAACTCAGTCATGCCTTAGTGATATCAATGAGGTGAATAAGAATTCTGCACATACTACACTGTGGTGAGCACTGCTTAATACCATCCAAATTACGGCAAGTGATTGGGATGGGGGTTCAGAAAGAGAATGACCATACAGGTTAGTGTGGTGAGACTTGAGCTTTCTTGGCTAGCATCATGGACAATCACTCTTGTGAAGGAATCATTAATTTGAGTGTTCCTATTTCCCATCACATGCAGATTCAGGGGGAAATTCTTCCAAATCTCCTCTCCTGCCTCTTCTTTTACAGTGTAGAAATACCTGCCCAAATCAAACAAAACTAACAAAAGTAGCCAATCTCATGAAGCTCATGTTCTATACACATAGGAAGGCCCCTTAGCACCTTACTATCTTAGAAGTTATTTTGCACATTAATATTAATATTGTGCAATTGGCTATTTGGTGTCTAAACCCACAGAAGATAAGTTAACAGCAAATCAAGAAACAGGAATGAGCAACAGGTAGGTGATGCGAGAGCAAATAAAAATAAACACTATAACAAAATGAAATATATATACACACATACACACAGCAAAAACAAGAGCTTACAAAAGCATCCATTTTAGCCTCTAATTATTGAAACAAATAGTTCGAATGACTTCAATAACCCCGACATTTGCCTCCATATGTCTACACAATATCAAAATGTCTATCTATAATTATTATATTGAGTCATGATTAGAAATTTAAAAAATAATCAGTAGAGCTAGGGAACAAAGTAATATTGTAAAAATAACCCCTTCCCATCTAAAGTACCAAACACCTACATGTGACTTGCCACATGATAAGCAGTGTTCTAAATGCTATCTGTCTAAATTCAATTAATTCTCATAATGACCTTATGGGCTGGGTACTATTTACTGCACTCCTTTTCTAGATGGATAAACAAAGATAAAAAGAGACTAAGTGAGCTGCTCACAGTCTCACATCCAATAGGTGACAGAATCTGGGTTTGAGCCCAGTCTTATCACGACTCTTGCTCTTAATCTATTTGCACAATGAATTCAAGTAGCTTAAGATTTTTACTTTTTCAGAAGAGTATTTAAATGCTATAAAGATTAAAACCACTGAAAGCACATATATGTCTTCAAATGTAATAAATACAGTTGGTGAAGCCCCATGGAGGCTAATGTTGCATCAGCCATTGTGAGCTGGTTTAAAATGTCTAAAATGAACAAATGTGGTAAAAAACTTATTGTAAAAGAAATTCTACAAATATTTTTAAGTGATAGAAATGTTGGTCAAAAATAATAGTGTGTTTGCATTACCAAACACTTGACTATATTTCTACTGGATGCCCATTCACCTCCTGTGTTTGATGACTGATGATTTCTCAGGAATGGAACCATGTTTGAAACGGAATATAAATGTGCATTTGGAGAACTGAGGCACTGAATAAACTCTGTGGGCTGCAGGTTGCTGATGGATATGTGACGAGGTAAGGGAGATCTGTGTTGTTCTGGTGCTACCATTTATAAGCTCTTTTTTCATGGGCAAACAATTGTTTTATAGCTAGCCTCATTTCTAACCTTGTTAGATCTGGAAGACTAATGGTGCATTGGCAGAATACTGGGGGCCAAAGATGTCCAAGTCCTAATCCCCAGGATCTGTGACACCACTAAGAAGACTTTGCGGATGTGATTAAGGTTACGGAAATTGAAACAGAAGGATTATCTTGGATTATCTGGGTGGTCCCAACATAATCGATGAGCTCTTACAAGCAGGGAACTTTCTCTGCTTGTAAGTCAAAGATATGTAGCAGAAGAGGAAAGCAGAGTTCAAATGAGACAGATGAGAAAGTGGAGATTTTACAAGTGTGAGAAGGTCTGGACTTGCCATGGAGATGGAGGAAGGAGGCCATGCTATGAACCAAGGAATATGGGTGGCCTCTAAATGCTCAGAAAGACCCCCAGAAGACAGCCAGCAAGAAAATGGAACCTCGGCCCTACAGTCTCAAGGAACTCAATGATGCCAAAAGCCTAAATTAAGTTCAAAGCTAATGCATCCCAGAGCTTCAGAAGCTCAAGACTGCCAAGGTCTTGGTTTCAGTTTGGGGAGGCCTGTGTTGGATTTCTAGCCTATAAAACTGTGAGAGGATATATTTGTGTTCTCTTAAGCATCTATGTTTATAGTAATTTTTAAAGCAACAATAGGAAACCAAAACGTGTCATCTACTTCACAAGATTAAAAAATGAATCACGTATTTTTATTTTCCTTTTTCCTCTCCCCACCCCCCCCTTTTTTTTTTTTCTTGAGACAGTGTCTCTCTCTGTTGCCCAGGCTGGTGTGCAGTGGTATGACCTCAGCTCACTGCAACCTTCGCCTGCCAGGTTCAAGCAATTCTCCTGCCTCAGCCTCCCAAGTAGCTGGAATAAAAGGCACACATCACCACGCCAGGCTAATTTTTGTATTTTTAGTAAAGAAAGGGTTTCTCTGTATTGATCAGACTGGTTTCAAACTCCTAACCTCAAGTGATCTACCAACCTTGGCCTCCCAAAGTACTGGAATTACAGGCGTAAACCACCGCACCAGCCAAGTCACGTGTCTTAGAAGCATGCCTGGCAGATAATAAATTCTCCATCAACGTTAGCCATATAATTCATTACAAAGTTGAGAAGTAAATGAGACAAAATCCCTAAAGCACTTGGTATACAGCCTAGAGCCTAGCACACAGAAGGTGCCTAATCAACAGTGTTTATTGTTATTTAAAAAGAGATCTTACTTGTGAGCTATAAGAGAGCATGTGGCTTTGTGCAGAGAAACTGTAGGACCCTCTCTGCCTTGTTTCTTTGCTTTCATAAAAATATTGAGATATCTAACTTAGCTGAGAAGCAACTATAGACTTAAAGAAGCGTACTAAAAATGAAGTAATTTTTTGGAATTAAAAAAAAAATAAAAAAGGATGAAAGAGAGGTCAGATTGCTCTTAAAGCAAACTTCCTTGACCTTGGGCTATGTTTCCTGAAAGCTTCAGGAGCTTTTTCTTCGTGAAACATTTAAATGTGTCCCTTTTATATCAGTAATAAGGGCATTAATGGAGGAGGTCAGGGCAGGCAGGAGCAGGCTGGGTGACGTGTGTCCTGGCCTTGTCAAATGGTGTCACTCTATGGAAAGGCAGCATTAAATTTCTGAAAGTCAAGTCAAGCAGTATGTCCGACCTGGAAACGTTTTGCCTTACCACAGCTAAATAATTAAATGCTGTCACGGCTCAGCGTGTTGCTTAAAGTTAACACATCAGGATTTGCATTATTCTTAGCCACGGGCACATTTTTCACCAGTTTTAAAACCCTCACAATAACTGGAATGTCCTGTCCAGCCCTTGTGCACACGATTTTCGAAGCATAGCAGCTCCTCGAAACAAATGTATTTAGTCAGAATAATATGTCCGTCGCCAAGCAAAGATGAATCATGATTTGATGGAGCTTGAAATTAGTCTGTAAAGCTCGGCGGGAAGATGGGTTTCACCTGCCTGCCCTATCCATTGTTTACGCCTCCAGCGTGACTCGGAGACGTGTTCAGGGCTGAAACTAGGAAACCAGGTGACACTCATCTGTTACATAACAGGCCTTCCCTTTTTCCCTCCTTTGTAGCACTGATCATGGGTTCAATTAAAACAGAATTTGTGCAATTTTCCAGGGGCCGCATCAACAGAGAAGTGACAAAAACAAACGAGTAAATCAGGTCGACTGCAGCACGGGAGGGTTTGTGCAAACCAGAACACGGTGATTTATAAATACCACTTGAAAATGTGACGTGTACCCATTTTATAGATAGAGATACCTGAAAAGAACAACTGCTACTCACAGTGAATATTAGGACCATAATTCACACCTATGGTAATTTCCTAAAGTAGAAAATGTGTTTCACGGTCTAAAATAGTCATGGCATACCATACCTATAACTCCTGGGACAGTGTAAGACTTTGCCAAGCTGACTCCAATTTAGCAATACTTCATGCTTTTTAAAAATGATATAAAAAGGAAAGGGAAATGGGGAGCCTACTTAATAGAACCAGCTTTCTGATGATACCTAGGAGCACTAGTTCCCGTAGGAATGGGACATTTTATTTCTGTGTTTGTTTTGCTGTCGTAAAGCATCATTTTTGTCCTACTTCCATATGTTATGGGAAGATTTCCATTCATCTCAGACTTTCCGAACTCTCTTATTTAGGGAACCACTTGAGTATACGTTGTTGAAAAACATATAAAGCTTTGGGTATGGTGACAAGTGGTTTAGCAAAACAGTTAATTTATATCTTGAAAGAAATAAAGGAGAAATGGTGGACTTGAAGTTGCAGCTTCTAGGAACAGAGATGAGAGATGGAGGAGCAGGGAAGAGAGAGGAAGGGGAGGGGATGGATGGAAGGAGGGAGTGGGAAGAAAGACAGAGCCTTTCTTAGAGTCTGCACCCTTAACTTTCTGTCTCTGAGTTACCTCCCGCTCCCCCCGCTCACCCTGCCCTCTAACAAAGGAGACACAGTTATACCCTATTATCAAGATTTTTATTGTATTTACTCTTCTTGTTTCAGTCCCTTTCTTTACCCTTGAAGCCTTAAAGTAAATCTGTGACACCTGCATTGCTTAAGGATTTCCTTTAGGTGATTAAATGAGATCAGGGTGGTGTCTATTATGACACAAACAAAACAAAACAGTACTATGATGGGAGGTACAGGAACCCAGAGATGGAGGGAGAGGCAGGGGTAAGAACAAGAGCAGGCATCTTCCTTCCTCCCAGGCACAGAAGCAAAGGGAGGCTGTGGTGCTGACATCCCCACTGTGTAAGGAGGGGGAGGGCTGGAGCCCTGTGTTTGGACACAGAAGAGAAAGAGAATCTGAGGGATACCAGAGGCAGGGCATCTGGTTTACCCACAACATCGGTTAAATAAACATCATACTGATTTTACCATTAAAACTGGGTCCCAAAAGAGTCATTTATTGGAAACTGTTTATCTGTTTACAACGCCTGTGTGTATGTCCTCGAAAATAATGTGTTTTCCTTAAAAACCTGAGTGAAGAATGTCCCCAAATGTACCATCCTGTATCTACATGGCCTGATTAGAGGCCTTAAGTTCCAGGTGTCCTTTAATTCCACTGCTCTGCGTTTTGCTCTCATGACCAAAGAGAACTGTCACCGTAAGCCTATCACTATGTATTTTCTGAGATGATATGAAGGAGGAATACTTTCAATAGTAAAAACTAAGAGAGGGACGTAATACCATTGGTTCAGTGTCATCTTACACATCTTCTGAAATATCTAGAGGAGAACAAACAAGTATAAATAAAAAGACTCCTTTTCCCCACTTACCCATTGGCTAGTAAAACCCAATGATTTGTAGCACCATGCATTTTTCCCTTCCTAGTGGCCTAGGAAAGATGCTCAACAATTTTCATTATATTTGAATGTTGATGTCAACTTGTCCCTAGGAATGAAGGGCCTTCAAGCAGTTAGGCAAAATACTGTCGCACAAGATTCTGTCCTGCTTCTGGGTTGCAGGAACCACCTGAATTGCCATCTAACCCCTGGGGCAAGTCCAACAAGGAACTGGCTACCTGAAGGAGGTGCCCCAGGCAAAACACAGATGAGGATAACAAAGTTCCACGGGGAGGAACCTACCTGGAGAACAACGAGAAGAGTCCTGCTTCAGCTGTGCCAAAGAATGGGTTCTTTTTCTTATGGCAGCCACATGCAGCCACAGCGGTGGTGTTGAAATGGGAAAGGTTCCCCCGTCCCCCTTGCAGGGCGTGCGATGGGGTGTGCTCGCCTCTTCAGTGCCCCGTTGGTCATACCTCTAGTGGGGCATAGAGATGGGCAGGTTGTGGGGCTCCAACCCCATGGCAGTGTCTAAGGGTGGATGTTTACAGCTGAAGCCCCAGAGGGCGTGTGTTCCAGGGTGCGCTCTTAGTTCACGGTCTATAGCTCAGTTAGACCCTCTACCTTGTCATAAGGCCAGAGGGCTTTCTGTATCCCGGGTTCTTGCCTTGGTGTACCGGAAGAATCGGATCACACGTGGGCTTGGAGAATGACTGCAAAATCGTATTGAGTGGAAGTAACTCTCCACCGACAGGAGAGTCAGAAAGGAGATGGTTTTCCCCCGGAGTTGGGCAGCTCCAGAAGGGAGATGGCTTTCCCCTGGAGTTGGGCCGCTGGGTGCCCGGGCTGTCCTCCTACTGCCCAGGACAAACTCCACCTCGTCCCACCGGTCGATGGCCTGCCGGGGAGCCCGCGGGCGAGCCGGCGTCTGTAGGTGTGTTCTTCTGCTGACATGCTCTCCGTGACCAGCCGCTTCTGTCTTCTTCCACTGATGCGTTCCTCTCGCCCTCCAGCAGCTTCTGTCTCTGCCTTGCTAGGGTCGTGGGTGTTTATAGGCCCAGGCTGGGGGCGTGGCGGGCCAGGGTGCTCTTGGAAAAGCAGGAGTGCCTGTCCTCGCCTAGGTCCCTGGGGCTAGAGGCCTAGTCACGGACTCTGCCCTTTCTACCCCGCGCTTTCCTTCCCGGCTTCCGTATCATTTAAAGGGACCGTGCTCTTCCTTTCCCAGCACTCCGGCTTGAGTGTTAAATGGCCAGCAGGAATTATCCACTAGAGAAGCGGAAGGGAGAGAATGGAAATGGCCGCATGCAGCTCCTCTCCCTCAGACAGCTCGGGGCTCAGCGGAATGAGCACAGTCTGCAGGACAAGTGCGGAGGACTTCAGTCCCCTCTACTGTATATTGGCTTTAGGACTCAAGTTGTCCCTGAAATAGAGGAAGGTGTTTTCTAGGGTAGTGGTAATTATCACAGTCAAAAAAGTAGGCGAGAGCACTTAGGAAAACTGTGCGGAGATCGGCTGCTGATGTGTAAATACTGCTGAAGCTGCTTATTCAAGGTAATCTGAATTTCCTTTTTTAAAAGTGGACTGAAACTCTGCTTTCTCATCAGAAGACTTTTTTTTTTTTTTTTTTTTAAGATTCTAACTCCTTTTGTCTGCTCTGTCACTTTTCTGAACTTTAAAATCTGTCAACTTTTAGGGAGGAAACAAAACCCGAAACATGAAATATTGGTGATTGTTAGTAACTCTTTCTGGGTTCATGGCAAAAAAAAAAAGGCAGTGGCTTTTTAATCTATGGATTTTATTAACCTTCCCTACATCAGTGCCCCAACAACTGCAATGACTGAAAAATATCTGTTCTGTTCTGAAATGGCAAGTCTACTTTGGAAATAGGTGGCATCCTCAGGACCTGGGGAAAATGTTTGAGACAGAGGATGGGCTGGCCTTATTATTATTTGTATCATTGTGAAAATGAGCTTCAATTTATATTTTACATTCACCCATTACTCTCATGGCCCAGATATGTATTTGTACTAACTCAGAGATGATAAAGAGGTAAGAGGTAGTTGGAATATGCTACTGGATTTATTAATTTCAACTTGAAGGCATATCCAAAAATTTCATTATCAGGAAATAGATGAAATAGCTAATAAGCATATGAATAACTATGAATTTTTTTTTAATTGTAATTCTCAGAAAACCAAAACTCCTACTGAACACAACTGGAAGTAAGATGGACAAAAATTAGTGAAATCAAAAAAACTAACATATAAAACAAACCCCCATGACACAAATTTACTTATAGAACAAACCTGCACATGTACCTGTGAACTTAAAAGCTAAATTTAAAAAAAGGCGGGGCAGGACTGGGCATGGTGGCTCATGCCTGTAATCCTAGCACTTTGGGAAGCTGAGGGGCAGGCAGATCACTTGAGGTCAGGAGTTCCACACCAGCCTGGCCAACATGGTGAAACCCCATCTCTACCAAAAATACGAAAATTAGCCAGGCGGGGTGGCAGCGCATGCCTGTAGCCTCAGCTACTAAGGAGGCTGAGGCAGGAGAATCCTCTGAATGCTGGAGGCAGAGGTTGCAGTGAGCCGAGATCTTGCCACTGCACTCCAGCCTGGGAGACAGAGTGAGATCTTGTTTCCAAAAAACAAAAAGATAAAAACAAAACTAAAATATTTTATAAGTCCAAACGAGATCTAAGACATTAAGAAGAACTCCACGTCAGGCTCCAGAGGATTAAGGAGACCCTACTAGAGCATAACGGGTTGTTTTGCTTTATTTATTTATTTATTTATTTGAGATGGAGTCTTGCTCTGTTGCCCAGGCTGGAGTGCAGTGGTGCAATCTTGGCTCACTGCACCCTCCACCTCCCAGGTTCAAGCAATTCTCCTGCCTCAGCCTCCTGAGTAGCTGGAACTTTAGGCACCTGCCACCACACCCGGCTAATTTTTGTGTTTTTAGTAGAGAAGGAGTTTCGCCATGTTGGCCAGGCTGGTCTCGAACTCCTAAGTTCAACTGATCCGCCCTCCTCGGCCTCCCAAAGTGTTGGGATTACAGGCATGAGCCACTGCGCCTGGCCAATCATCGCAGAGTTTTAGGCTTCTGTGCCTTGAAAGACAATTCCAGCAAATGTGCGTGGGAAGCTCAGAGACTGAAGATGCCTTTCCCAACTGTGCGAGACAACAGAACACAGGTTGCAGGCTAGGAATGGACTTGATTGGGGTCTAGGGTGTGTACTCCACACTTTTTTATCCAGACCATGAAAGCCTGCCTTTTTGGGACTAAGAGTAAGCAAGAATTAGATCATTTTGTTAGACTGTCCTGACTTGAAACTTCTCCTGGGTGCTGCTTCCACTTTCTGAAATAAGGACGACCTCTGTCTGGTGACTTTTCCTATCAAAATGTCAACAGTGGTATTTATTATACTATTTAGTGTCATTAGTCACCATTAATTGTTTCAAGTGCTTTTTCAAAGTCATTAGCTGAAATCCTCCAGCTCATTCAGCGATGCTTTCAATTAATCCACTTAAAGAGCTCTTTGTATCACAACCTATATGTGCTTGTTAATGGGTGATTAGTGGGTGGTATCCAATATTTTCTTCTTGAGACAATTCACAACTAAGCAGGGGTGGAGATGATGTATACACAACCCGAGTGGATTATGCAAGCTCCTCTTCCAAGTAGTAGAAATAATAAAGATTTAACGGCTATTTTTACATCTAAGGCTTCCCATGTTTTAAGGGAAAAAGAAGTTTGTATAGCTATGGCATATTTAGTCTTTCTAAAAGCTAACTACAGTCTTCATGCACAGAGTTGGGGGAAACACCATGAACACTGAACAGAAAAAATAGAAATAGCCCCCATGTACCACTTTGGAATATTCTTGCACAAACGTGAGATCCATCTTTTATTGAAGTCTGTGCTCAGCATGGTTTCATTTTCCAATAGCAGTCCCTTTTCTATCCAAGGTTATTTGAACAGAAATCAAAACTGGCGAGTTTCATGAGGGTGGCCAGACATGGAGCAGTTGGAACTGAGGTGGACAGGGAAAGGGCTGAGCTGACGGTGGGTCAGTCAGGTGGGACACCAGGCTCACAGAAGCCCAGCAGGAAGCTGAATACGAAGCTGACCTGCAGAGCTAAGTAACTGAGCATCTCGCTTCTGGAAGGAAGAACACACTACCTAAGTTGAATTTCTCTTTCCCTCACTTACAGGGGAACTATTAACCTCCCCATACCTCCGTTTCTGCATCCTCAAAATGGGGATAATAGTTTATCCATCTCACTGGGTTGTTGGAACAATTGCATGAGATAATGTGTGCTTGGCATCTTCCACACAGGCCCATCTGATCAGTGAACATGGGACCTGGTGCCAACCCCAGGGCCTCTGCACTGGGTCACCTGCTTAGAGTCTCATCTTCTGGGTCTTTCCATGGCTGACTAACTCTTCATTCAGATTTCCCTCCTTAGGGAGACCTTCCCCAAGAATCTTTAAAAACTATTGTCTGGAGTTTATTTTTGTAATAATATTCACCAGTGTCTGAAATGTCATTAGTTTATTTGCTTATTGCAGTCTCCTTGCCCCTAGAATGACCTCCCCTGAGCATCGGGACCATGTTTGTCTCATTTCAGCTCAACCATCCCAGCATTGAGCATTGCGCTGTCACAAAGCAGTTCCCAAATCAAACAGAAATTCCACATGAGTGAATAAGTGGATATGTGACTGTTGGGGAATGGATCAGCAGGGTACAGGGCCAGGTATCAGCAGCTCCAACAAGGAGAACAGTACGCCGAAGGAACCTACTAGAACAGTACACTGAAAGAAACTATTAGAACAGTACGCCAAAGGAACCTACTAGAACAGTACAAGAAACCTACTACAACAGTATGTTGAAGGAACCTGCTAGCTTGATACAAGAGTAACTGTGGTTTTTGCCATTAAAAGTAATGGCAAGGCTGGGAGCCATGGCTTACATCTGTAATCCCAGCACTTTGGAATGCCGAGGCGGGTGGATCACTTGAGGTCAGGAGTTTGAGACCGGCCTGGCCAACATGATGAAACCCCATCTCTACTAAAAAGACAAAAAGTAGCTGGGTGTGGTGGTGCATGCCTATAATCCCAGCTACTCAGGAGGCGGAGGCAGAAGAATGGCTTGAACCCGGGAGGCAGAGGTTGCAGTGAGCCAAGATAGTGCCACTCAACTCCAGCCTGGGGGACAGAGGGAGACTCTGTCTCTAAATAAATAAATAAATAGGCCGGGCATGGTGGCTCATGCCTGTAATCCCAGGACTTTGGGAGGCCGAAGTGGGTGGATCACCTGAGGTCAGGAGTTCGAGACCAGCCTGAACAACATGGTGAAACCCCATCTCTACTAAAAATACAAAAAATTAGCTGGGCGTGGTAGCGGGCGCCTGTAGTCCCAGCTACTCGGGAGGCTGAGGCACGAGAATTGCTTGAACCTGGGAGGCGGAGGTTGCAGTGAGCCGAGATCGTGCCACTGCACTCCAGCGTGGGCAACAAGAGCAAAACTCCCTCTCAAAAAATAATAATAACAATAAATAAATAAATAATGGGAAAAACCACAATTACCTTTGCACTAACTTAATACTTACAGAATCTCTACTTTTCTCCATCATAATTTTTGAGAAACCTTCTTATTTTTAGGCTGCTGTGTCAAAACCCTTTTGCCTGGCAGGCCTGCCCCATCTTCCCCACAAGAAAGCACTGCCGGTTTCCTCCAGCTTAGAGCCCAAGGCTGTGGGGAAGACAGTGTCAGGATGGTAAATATAAGGTGTGGCTGTCAGTCTCCCTCTGTTTCTGTGCTTGATGAAGGCAGAGGGAAGGACAATAGTGCATTTGAGCCTTCCTTTTGAAACCGACTTTATGAGAGAATGAATGGCAACAGGGACAGTAGCCACATCAGCAGCAGCAGCAGGCACTGCAGGGTTTCCCCAGGCCTGGTGCTGTTTCCTACACGGTATCTCGTTGCTTCTCACAGTGGCCCAAAGAGGTAGCTACTATTATTATCCCCATGTTACAGTTCAAGAAATAGGCTCCCCAAACTTCTGGACCTTCCCCAAGGTCATGCCATGGATACAAATCAAGGTCAGGAATCAAACTCAGGCCACTGAACTGTAGAGCTTCCATGTTTAACCGTGAAGAGTGTTCCAAGGAGACAGCTCAAGTTGAATAAATAAAATAAATGAGATAAGTAGAAGGACTTATGTAATCATGTAAGAAGGAAGTACATGAAAAATATGTATGTTTGTGCTTGATTGATTGATCAATTGATCAGTTGATTTAAAGGAATCATGGAGACTGAAGACAGTGGGAATAGGAACAGTCTAAGCCCTGTGCAAAGGTAATAAATACTCTTTTTTTTCTTAGTAGTTTCCAGGCAGCAATGTAGTATCATGAGCAAATATTATGTTTTCGTTTTTATTTCACAAGAGAAGGCAGAAACCTAGAATTTGATATGATGTTTTCACCCCACTCCTCATTTTAAATAGGTAATTAAGTTTTTTTAAACTTTGAACAGGCCAACACAAAAGGATTGAGACACCAATCATGGGGGGCTAATATGGCCTCGAGCTATCGGTTTCAACCTCTAGTTTTGGGGATTGGTTTAGGAATTGGGCTATACTGAATTATCCCAGGAGAGCTGTCTGTTTTCTGTGTGTACAGTGAGGATTGTGGGGGTGGGGACTTGCTTCTAAGTATGTTTAGAAACCCATCTCGTGAAGGTCATAGGGGTCTGCTTTTACATTCACAACATGGACTTCACGTCTGAACCTAGAGGCGGGCGTGGAAGAATGAACTTGTATAATTGGCCATGAGGCACAGCACAGAAAGCCTCCTGGCACATTAAGGACATTATCAGTCTAAGAGGATGGATGTTTTTCCACATTCCACTAATGTCTCAGCATTGTGAGGAATGTAGACCTTGGCTTTGACTTATGAATTCAAGAATGAAGACTAATGATAGGGAAAACATAATTGTAACCCTTCCTCCTACCTTCCTCCTTCCTGCAGGCAGCTCCCTCACTGTTGCAGGGGCATCTTTCCCGTTAAGCAAATGAGAGTTCCACGTGCAAATGGTGTCCTGGGATCAGGGCGAGATGATCCCTGTCTGGATACATTTTAATATTGCGTGTGTTGTTTCACATCCTTAAACATACTCTCAGAAATATGTTTAGCAATCTAACAGAATTGAAATCAAGTTTAATGTAAAATTACATTGATTTTCTATAGGTCAAAAGGGTGCAATTAAATGTGTTTTTACTATATTGTTAAAAATCAAGTTACTACTATCCTCTGCCTGTTTGATTAAATGATGACATACTCCACATATGTAAATGATGCATTTTCATCATGAAGGGATTGAGTCAAATTGAGGGACCGTGTGTTTTCAGAGAATGAGATCTATGAATCGATGAAGGCAAGAACTGTTCTCAGTAACAAGTGGAGTCTTACTGTATTTGAAGAAAATTGCATGCTTTTGCTTTGCCTTCAAATTGGGCTTTGTTGTTGTTGCTATTGTTTTCTGTTTAATCAAACACGAAGTTTAAAACTCCAAAACTGCAGGTGTCGTACTTGTTCTATAAGCCAATATCTCCCTGAATCTTGTGCCCATAGCTAGCACTCAAATGTGTATGTCATTGCATACTCCAAGTAGTTAGTTTTCTGGATACTGATATTTAAAATTCCTAAATGTCTTGGTGTTTTTAAAGATGATCAATATGGCAGAACCACCATCAACTTGGAGATTAGTGTCGTGTGTTCTCATCTTCCATACATCTTGGATAAATCACTTATCTCAGATGGTAAAATGAAGCCATTAGAGCTTACTGGTGCCCCTAGGTAGACAGCGTGTGCCTCAGCTGCAATGAGAGGTGATTTTAGGTGGCACCAGCCTCCATATTAAATGATATTAAACCATATGGTGAAAAACCATTTCCCATTATAATTCTCCTTTAGTCTGCCTGGTTGCATGAAGCAGAAAATCTGTTTGGTGAAGATGTGTTTTTTTAACTTTTTAATCCCCCTCTCTAACAACGGGAGAGCCCATTCCGGCTCAGGGATGAGCACCTAGCTGGAATTTTTATTATATTTATTCATTTCTATTGAATTTGTTTTGAAGGCCAGACATAGTAACTT